>NC_000010.11:50294610-50446125 GCF_000001405.40 Homo sapiens | reverse complement strand
GGCACGCATTGTCATTGATAACATCTTACCAGGAGACAGGGTTTGAGAGCAGACAACCGGTCTGACCAAAATTGATTAGGTGGGAATTTCCTCATCCTAATAAGCCTGGGAGCACTAGGGGAGATGGGGGCTTATCTCTTCCCTTATCTACAATCGTAAAAGACAGACATTCCCAAAGCAGCCATTTCAGAGGCCTCCCCTTAGAAATGCATTCTCTTTCTCAGGGGTGTTCCTTGCTGAGAAAGAGAATTCAGTGATATTTCTCCTATTTGCTTTTGAAAGAAGAGAAATATGGCTCTGTTCCACCCAGCCCACAGGCAGCCAGCCTTTAAGGTTATCTCCCTTGTTCCCTGAACATCGCTGTTATCCTGTTCTTTTTTCAAGGTGCCCAGATTTCATATTGTTTAAACAATTTGTACAGTTAACACAATCATCACAGGGTCCTGAGGTGACATTCATCCTCAGTTTACGAAGATGACGGGATTAAGAGATTAAAGTAAAGACAGGCGTAGGAAATCACTAGAGTATTGATTGGGGAAGTGATAAGTGTCCATGAAATCTTCACAATTTATGTTCAGAGATTGCAGTAAAGACAGGCGTAAGAAATTATAAAAGTATTAATTTGGGGAACTAATAAATGTCCATGAAATCTTCATAATTTATGTTCTTCTGCCATGGCTTCAGCCAGTCCCTCCATTTGGGGTCCCTGACTTCCCGCAACATTTGTGGACACAAGTTCACAAGTTTTCATGTCTTTTGAGTGTGTTCTTAGAAGTATATTATTGGGTAAGTGTATATTTAATCTTATAAAAAATTTACTTAAAAATTGTCAAACATTTTTCTAAAGGGCTTTATAATTCAGTATGCCCATCAGCAACTTATGAGATGCTCTAATGTACTCCAAGTCTTTGCCAACTCTTGCTTTTTTCAGTATTTTTAAAATTAGCATTCCAGTGCAGGTAAAGTGGTATCTTGTAGATTCCTGTTGTTTCCTTGGTGACTAATGATGTTGAAAATTTTTTCATGTACTTATTGGCCATTCATGTGTCCTCTTTTATGAAGTATCTTGTCAAATCTTTTACTATTTTAACAATTGGGTTGTGTGACTTTTCAAAAATTAAATTATGGTGGTTCTTTATATATTCTGGATACGTGTCTTTGGTCAGATACATGTATGGTGAATTTTTTCCAGTTGGTGGTTGCCTTTTCATTTTCTTAACTTTGTCTTTCAAAAAGCAGTTTTGATATTGATGAAGTCCAACTAGCTAGTTTTTCTTTTATTGGTAGTATTTTGTCTACCTCATCATTGCAAAGCCATTGTTCTACGTTTTCCTAAAATACTTTATAGTTTTAGCTTTTATAATTAGTTGTATGACCTCTCTCAAAGTATTTTTTTTTTAATAAATGGGGTCTTCTTGTGTTGCCCAGGATGGATATGAACTCCTGGGCTCAAGTGATCCTCTTACCTCGGCCTCTTGAGTAGTTGTGATTACAGGTGCACGCAACCACTCTCAGCTCTAAGTAATTTTTGTTATTAGTGTGAGGTAGGAGTCAGGATTCATTTTTCTTTCCCTATGAATATTTATTTGTTTCTGCTCAATTTGTTGAAAAAATTATCCTTACACCCACTGAATTATTTTGACATCTTGGTCAGAAAATCTGTTGGTCGTATATGTGTGTGTCTATTTGTGATCTCTGTTTTGATCCATTGTTCTATTCATCTGTCCTTATGCCAGCACTGTATTTTGTTGAGAATTTCTCCATGTATGTTTTATGAGGGATATAAGTCTGTAGTCTTCTTTTATTATGTTTGTCTGGTTTTTGTATTGAGTTTCTACTGGTATATCCTTTTATTACATGTTTATCTGTGACTTTGTATTTAAAATGCATCTATTTAGGTACCATATAGTTCAGTATCATTTTTTAATGTATTCTGGTGATTTCTGCCTTTTAATTAAATGTTTAGTCTATTTACATTTACTGTATATTGACATGTTAGTTTTAGATCTACCATTTTAAAACTTGTTTCCTATATGTCTTATCCTTTAGACTTTTAAAAAATTCTGTGTCTCTGTTTATTGAATATTTTTAGTATAACATTTACATTTCTCTCAGGTTTTCTTTGCACTACTGTTTTGTAGTTACTCTGCAGATCACAATATTCACCCTTAGTAAAAAATTTTCCTTGAATTAATATGGTATTGCTTCATGTAAAATATAAGAAACCTACAATAATATGGTTTCATTTGCCTCTCCCCATCTGTTGTGCTATTGTCTTTGTACATTTTATATCTATATATGTCACAAACTATATAATACAATATTATACTTTTAATATAGTATGTATTAGTCATATATGTTTTAAATAAATTAAGAAAAAAAGTCTTTTATGTTAACATACAATGTATTATTTCCAAGGTTCCTCATTCCTTTCTATGGGTTTACATCTATATCTGGTATCATTTTGCTTTAGCTTGAAGAGCTTCCTTCAGCATTTCTTATAGTGTGGGTTTACTGGCAACAAATCTCTCATTTTCATTTGTGTGAAAATGTCTTTATTTTTTAAAAGATTTTTTTGTTGTATATAGAATTCTAGGTGGGCATTCAGTCTTTTTTTTCTCCTTCTCTTTAGATGTTGATTATTGTTTTCTGGACACCTGTTTCGAATGAGATGTCTGCCATCATTCCTCTTCTTCTTCTCATATGTTGTCTTTTTTTCTCTGGCTACTTAGAAACTTTTTTGTTGTTGTTGTTATTTTTGGTTTTCATGGTTAGTGTTCTAGCAGACAAAAACCACAAACTTTGGCTCAAATAGAAGAACTGTGTTTAAAATTGAGCCCCGTCACTTAGTAAGTAGGTTAACTTAGGCATGTCACTGTATTTTTCTGAACTTCAGGCTTTTCTTTGGAAAACAGGGATGCCTTATCTACATTAGGGTTGTTGCAAAAGTCAAAGCATCTAAGTGCTAGTCTAGCTATTATTTGTTCTCTCCAGCTGAGAGAGCTGATTGACTGACTTTTCCTATATACATTTATGGAAAAGTAAATATTCTAAACTTATGAGATAAACATGGCTTGTTTTCTATTTTGAAATTTTTGCTCATAGAACACTAAGGAAACCATTCTTATTAAGTGCAGTTTGAATAGTAAAGCAGGAAGCTCAAATTATCTGCATTAAAATAGGCACAGGCAAAGATTTCATGAAGAAGATGCCAAAAGTAGTCTCATCAAAAGCAAAAATTGACAAATGGGATCTAATTAAACTAAAGAGCTTCTGCACAGTTAAAGAAACTATCAGCAGAGTAAACAGATAACCTAAATAATAGGAGAAAATTTTTGCAAGCTATACATTTGACAAAGGTCTAATATCCAGAATCTATAAGGAACTTATACAAATTAAACAAACCCAGCCATCTCATTACTGGGTATATACCCAAAGGAATATAAATTGTTCTATTACAAAGACACATGCACAGGTATGTTCATTGCAGCAGTATTCACAATAGCAAAGACATGGAATCCACCTAAATGCCCATCAGTGATAGACTGGATAAAGAAAATGTGGTACATACATACCATGGAACACTATGCAGCCATCCAAAAGAACAGGATCATGTCCTTTCCAGGGACATGGATGGAGCTGGAGGCCGTTATTCTTAGCAAACTAATGTGGGAACAGAAAACCAAACACTGCATGTTCTCACTTACAAGTGGGAGCTGAATGATGAGAACACGTGGACACATAGAGGTGAACAACACACACTGGGACCTGTCAGAGGGGGGCGGTGGGGGAGGGAGAGCATCAGGAAGAATACCTAATGGATGCTGGGCTTAATACTTGGGTGACGAAATAATCTATGCAACAAACCCCCATGACACAAGTTTACCTATGTAACAAACCTGCACATGTACCCCTGAACTCAAAAGTAAAAAAAAAAAAAATCTACAGCAGAAAAAGTCAGTATTATTGAATGAACGCCCTTTTGTTTTGTTTTGTTTTGTTTTTTATCTTTAACCAAACCCATGCGTTCTGCACATGTGTTCCAGAACTTAAAGTATAATTAAAAAAATAAAAAAATAAAAGCAAGTTAATGAATGTCTTTTAAAATGTATTTTTGAAATGAGAAACATTGCCTTTGGAGGGTGATAGGAAAGATCAAATGACAAAGTTAGAGATTAGTGACATTTTTATTCCTCTGTTACCAAGTTGTGGGTAGTATTTTTGTCACTATACTTTTTATGGTAGAAGTATCCATGCAATGGATAAAAATACAGACTTTGACAGACTGGGAAGATAATGTGCAATACTGAAATACTTTGCATGCTTTGTGACAATAATGAGACTACTGCTAAGGAATTTTCTACTACTTTAAATTAGGATGCTCCAATAGAAAAGGTTATCTGTGTGCGTTTTATTTATTTGGTAAGGAAGCAGTGTTTTCTGGTTATACGTGGTAAAGAAAGTAGATAAATAGCCTTGTCCTTTAAGATGTCCCTTGACGGTCAGTTAGAGGAGCAGGTTCATTCATGATCTCCTCTGCAGACACCTTATTGGACTGGACTGGTTATGTTCTTACATACCTTTGAGTTTTGGTTTCCTTTTTTTTGTAAAAGAAATATTTACCTTTTTCTCAAATATCTTGCCACCCAGTTAGGAATTAAAGTTATTTGTGTTAGAGTTTGGCAGAGTGGACAGTTGAATGACACCTTTTTTTTCTCGTCCAATTTTGGGACCAATGGATATACCAATAGGAATTTGAAATATAGAGATTTGGAAATAAAGTTGGTTGGCCAAATGGGTTTTCTGGTATTTCATACTTGAGTGAGACTGATTTTCAATGTAGAAGGCAACAGCCTGGAATACACTCCATCTATGAGCAGGGTAGCCTTTCTCCCAAACTCGCTATTCACATAATTAACTTCTCCTCCACCAGGGAGAAGGTGGGAGAGAAGGCTGAACTATTAGGCTAATGGAAAGTTCTACAAATGAAAGCATGAAACTGAGGGAGTGGAGGTTTCCCACTAACACTTTGTCGACTGGATGCATTGCATGCATTTCATGCAATGTCGTTTGCCGAACAACTGTGCCTGCTTTTTTAGTAACTCTATTCTAGCTCCCTCCTCTCTAAAACTAGGATAGTAATGTTAACATGCCTCAGAGTGCTCTTGGCATGATTCAATGAATTAGTACATGTAAAACATTTAGAAATGAGCCTAGGTTGGGCATGGTGGCTCATGCCTGTAATCCCAACACTTTGGGAGGCCAGGCAGGAGGATTGCTTGAAGCCAGGAGTTTGAGACCAGCATAAGCAACAGAGACCCTGCCTCTACAAGAACAAACAAGCAAAAATTAGCTGGCCATGGTAGTATGCACCTGTAGTCCCAGCTACTCAGGAGGCTGAGATGGGAGGATTGCTTGAACCCAGGAGGCAGGAAGTCGTGGCTGCAGCAAGCAATGATTGCGCCACTGCACCCCAGCCTGAGCAACAGAGTGAGAGCCTGTTTCTGGAAATATTTTATGTATATCTAAAGGAACGAGCCTAGCATGTGGTAAACAGTTCGTGCTATTTTTTACCTTTAGTGACATTAGTATTACTTAGCAATATTATGTCAAAGCATTCAGATGCATTTAAATCATGGAGGGGTTAAATAATGTTCACTGATAGGAATAGCTAGAGAGGTTTAAATTCATGTGAGGAGAGAAAACTGCTGGCTCTGCGGGGAAAAATAAGCCCTTATTTACTTTTAATTTGTTTTTAACATATATTTATTCTTGGTACTGAGAAAAGGATTAGGAAGGAGAATGTTGAGTGAAAGGCCACTTTAAAAGAAAATATATATATATATATATTTTTTAATTTGGGTTGCTGGGAGAGTTCTGTAACAGGAGTTCTGGAGGGATGTGACCTGGGGTGTTTTAACCCCTTTTATTGATACCTCTCATTGCTACCTTGGGGGCAATATCATTGCACAGAAAAACCAGTTACTATTTATTTTAAATATGGAAGTTTCTAGAAGAAAAGAGAGCTGTGGTCTGCATTCCTAATAGCCTACCAAAATACATACCAGAAATCTTTGTTGCTGCATTGCTTGCTTGTTTAGATGTGGTTACTTGTGCTGAAAATATTAGTAAGCATCATTTGCTTGTATCCAGATAGGTTCCTTATATACAGCACTTACCTCAATGCTTTGGAATTGTAGATGCCCCCAAAATACCTGTTGAATGAATCGACGAATTTAGGAATAGAGATATATAAAGCAGTGGAGTAGACATCCTTGCACAAGTTTCTGTGCCAGCCTTTGAAAAATTTTCTTCCCTATTCATTTTTTTAAAGGCAAATTATTCAGAAGAAAAGACAGCCTATTTTGGGAGCATTTCAGTTTACTCAGAAAATATTGTGCATTGCTTTTGAAACTGGATTGAACATTTCATATTAATGTTTATATGGTGTTATTTTTCCCTCTTGCCACAAAACTTAGTTTTTAGAAGTACTGTAGGAGCTTTATAGTGTCATGAAATGTTAGTTCCTATTTTCTCCCCCAACAGAATTTTTGATGCCATTGATTTCATCTCTCATGTTGAAGCTAAAGTTTGGTAGGTCTGATTATAAAGAAGCCTGGGAACAGAAGGCCCGCATTGTGCTGCTGAGTGACCCTGGACAGGTCACTTAAAGTCGTTGGATCTATGTGTCATCATCTGTCAACTGAGAGGCTGGGACTAGAAGACTAATGAGCATTTCTCAGCTTTCAGATTATTTGATGGTAGGATTTCCCTACCAGTTTCTGCTTGGAAAGATGGCCTGCTGAGATAAGAGGTCTCTGGCTCATTGAGTGAGTTTTAGCTGTATACTCTGTGGTTGAGAATGATTGTTACTTGATTTGTCAAAGCTACAGGTGCTTGCTGAGAAAATTTAAGAATATTTACATTTGGTTTTTAAGGCGCCCATATTAGAAAAACTTAGATAAAAATTGGATGTTTTAATTTTTATTCAGTTCTCAAAACCACTAATCCAACAAGTCTCCAACATGTCTCTTGGAACATGTTTTATTCAGTGTTTAAGTCCAATCTATCACATTTTAAATATTCCTTTGTTTAAATTATTGTATGCCATATAGGGTCTTAATATAGCTCATATAATGGTCACAGTTCTCTTACTGTTCTAAACGTGTCATGTTTCGCATGTTGAGTAGCTTTTGCAGGCCAGCCAGGGAACCTGATCGCCATTTATACGATTGCTATTTCCTTGGCTAATATGTTTCATTATATCCTCCAAATGACAAGAATAGGATGGAGTGTTAAGGGAGGAAACTGAGTCTGAGTTGGAGAGAACTGAATTGGAGGGTGTGTGCTAATGTAGAGGCAGAATTGCTCACCCTGGCTCTTGGGGCTTCCTCTTTCTCCCCTCTCCTCTCTCAGAAGGACATGTGGTGACATCAGGGACATGAACTTCACCTCCCTTTTGTAGTAGTTATCTATAGCTACATAACAATCTAGCACAAACTTAGCAGCTTAATCAATCACAAAATTATCTCACAGTTTCTGTGGGTCGGGAGTCTGGGAATGACTTAGCAAGGTACTTAGCAAGGCCACAGTCAAGCATCAGCTATGGCTGCTGTCTTACCTGAGGCTGGATGGGAGGAGGATTTGTTCCCAAGCCCGTGTGATTGGCAGGATTCAGTTTCTCATGGGCTCTCTAACTAGAGCCTTGGTTTCTTGCTGTCAGCTGGAGGTTGTCCTCATGGGGCTCTCTCAGTAGGCAGCCCACAAAATGGCAGCCTGCACTTTCAAAACCAAGAGAGAAACTTGTAGCAGAGTAGATGTTACAATCTTATGTAATGTACCCACATACATCCTGTCATTTTTGCCTTATTCTATTGGCTACAAGCAAGTCACAGAACCTGTCCTGAAAGGGCGAGGGAATTAGGCAAGGCCTAGATAGGAAGAGACAGAGATCAAGGGGGCCACTTTAGAGTCTGACACATCTGAGACTGGCCAAGAATATGGCTTCTCTTTATCCTTACTCTCCTCTCTGTCCATTCTCCTACTTAATAGCAGCGTGTTTCTCATCCCTTCTGCTTTTTTCCTTCCTTCTGACCTACAGAGAATTCAACAGCCCTGAGTGGCTTTTCCTCCTCTTCTCTACTGTAGAAATGCAATGAAAAGGTAGCAGGAAACCCTGCCTTTGGAAGCAACTCTCATGCTGCTGGGGCCCTTCCTTGTCAGTGGGCATTTGGGGTATGTGACACATTCTTCTCTAGACATTTGTTCCTACATCATAGTGTGGCTTCTATAAAGGACCAAAGTGAGGTCTTCTCAGCTTTTGTGTCTTCTGATTACTATTCTCTTTAAGCAAGCACTGAATTACAAAACCAGGTCACTTTCACTATACCATCCTTTTAGGATGTCTTGCTAAGGCTGTGTTGGTAAATTTCAGGTTAGAATCATTAGCAGTTTTGGTGCTTTTACTCTTTTGCCCCAGTAACTCTTGTGTTATCTTCCTCTTTTCTTCAGACATCAGTAGGGTGCTGTTTCTTGCTTTTTTATGGCCTGCTCCTGGCCTGTGTCTTAGTTAGTCTTTAGTTATTGTTCCTTCTCTTTGCCAGGGACACAGTGTAGTATAGTGGTTAAGAACAAAGACTAAAGCTAGACTGCGTGGGCTTGAATTTCAGCTTCTGCCATTTATTAGCTAAGTAATCTTGAGCAAGTTACTCAGTTTTGTTTCTGTGTGGCTGGTGTTAACATTTCTGAATTTTCCACTGGCCAAGAAGCCTCTGAATACTGCTGCCACTCTCATTTTGCTTCCAAGTTACATGCACAGATGTAAGAGCAGACAATTTGCCCTTTATTGCTACATGAGATATCACCCCAAGCCCTTTTGTGGTCTCCTAGTGAAGTGGGCTGGAACATTGTTGAGCATACTGGGATACCTCTTTTTTTGTGGCTTCACCCTAGTACTTGTATTGCCCCCAAAGTATGAGGATAGTGTACATTTTCCAATGGCACAACATTTAATAAGCGTTTACTGTTTGCCATGAACTTTATTAAATTGTGTATAGACATTATGTCTTTTAACCCATATAACAACATCTGGTTATTGTACTGATATCGCTCCCATTCTATAGATGAGGAAACTGAGGCTTACAGAAATTACACAACATGCTCAAGGTCTTCAGAGCTTAGTTGCAGAACATAGTTCTGTGTGACAGCAACGCACATACCTTTCATGGCCACGGGATACTGTCTCCCATAGAGGAAGCCCAAATTCTTCTTAGTAAACTAGATCATTTGGAGAAAGAGGCTAAGAATCAAACAACTGTGTCTCATGGCCACAGGAACTTTTCCCACAACTTCTCCAGCCTTATTTTCATATTAGCTCTTGAATGCTCTTGATTTTGATGCCAGCCAGTCTTCTTCCACCCAGGGGTAGCAGGCTCAGCTTTGCCCTAGAGTGTAAAGTGAACATTCAGAAAAGGAGCCAGGTTTTCCCATGACTGTTATGGAATCTTAACATTGTATTTGAAGCACGATTAGGAAGTGCTGGGCTTGTAACAATCACAGCCAGGGTTCATACGTCCAGATTGTTCTTTTTAAGTGCATCAGCTGAACTAATTGCTTATATTCCAGTGATACCGCCAGTGTTCTGCATTCTTTTAAATGAACTTCATCGCAATCACCTTATAACCCCTTCCCCACTCCCACTGCTGAGCACAGTGTCTTCCACCAAATGGGTGGTTCAAAAAAGTTGGTTGTTAGCACTTTGGGAGGCTGAGGTGGGCAGATCATGAGGTCAGGAGATCAAGACCATCCTGGCTAACATGGTGAAACCCCGTCTCTACTAAAAATACAAAAAAAAATTAGCCGGGCATGGTGGCGGGCACCTGTAGTCCCAGCTACTCGGGAGGTTGAGGCAGGAGAATGGTGTGAACCCGGGAGGCGGAGCTTGCAGTGAGCCGAGATAGTGCCACTGCACTCCAGCCTGGGCGACAGAGCGAGACTATGTCTCAAAAAAAAAAGTTGGTTGTTGAAGTTGCTTATAATTCTTTTGAATAACCACAGTGGTGCTAAATTACCATCTTTGAGGATGAATTTGATTCTTTGAACTAATCTATTAAAATATTTTCTATTATAGCAAATAAAGGGAACTAAACTGTAATGACACACGTGTTCTTGTGAACATTGCACACTGGTTCTGAAGGTAAAAGACGAGTACTTATTCTGAGCAGTCAGCATCACTGGAGTGAGTCCCAAAGAGGGTGACTTGGAAGGGGTCAAGGAGTACTTTTTTAGACATTAAGTTCTGGCACTTCTGTTTTAAAGTTAGTATGCGTTCACCTGGTGAATCTTGTATTTTTTTGTTTGTTTGTTTGTTTGTTTTTAACATAACTGACAAATCCATACTGTTGCTTATGAGTCTGTGATGTGGTGCCCAGCATTAGAATGTACACCAGAAGAATTAGCACTAATGGAAGTGATTCATTCCCTCTTTTCAGGAATTCATCATCAAAAAAAGAAGCTCAGTATTGATATGAAGAATGCTAACAAAGACATAGCTAGAGCTTTCTGTGTGCCCATGTTAATAAAGGCTGTCAACTAAGGTGGAGATTTGTATTGAACATTTCATCAGATCAACTTAGAAAAGTTTTATATTGTTGTCAAAAGTTACATTTAGAACTTCTTTCCAGAATGGTCTCATCAGGAAAGAGTCTGTGAATTTAATGGACATAATTGCAATTGTAATCATGAATTTAATAGTCTTGCTACCATAGTTGCACTAGTGAGCACAGTAATTGCAGTAATCTTTTGAGAACTAATTGTATGATGGACACAGTGCATATATCATCTTTAAGTTATATAACTACTCTGCAAGGTATGTATTATTGTATGTATTTTACAGACTTGGAAACTGAGCCTTAGAAGGAATAAATTACTTGGCAAAGATCACACTGCTATTAAACAGCACAGATGGGGTTCAAACCTGTTTATTTTAAACCTGTATCAAACCTTACTGTGTTTCTCATTCATGTAAAGAGCCTCATGTCAGTGGCCAGGCATATAAAGCCATAGCTAGCCAATGAATCTGTTCCTCTTAGTGTTGGGTATAATTTTTAGATCTTTGACTCCTCAGTTCTTCCTTGCTATTTTTATTGAGGCTGACAAGTTCTTTCTTTATTATTAGAGAAGATCTCTATATTTATTTATTTGGTGTTTGTTCCATCTCCTCCTGTCTTTTTTTTTTTTTTTTGAGACGGAGTCTTGCTCTGTCGCCCAGGTTGGAGTGCAGTGGCGTGATCTCGGCTCACTGCAAACTCCGCCTCCCGGGTTCACGTCATTCTCTGCCTCAGCCTCCTGAGTAGCTGGGACCACAGGCACCCGCCACCACGCCTGGCTAATTTTTTTTTTTTTTTGTATTTTTAGTAGAGACAGGGTTTCACTGTGTTAGCCAGGATGGTCTCGATCTCCTGACCCTGTGATCTGCCCGTCTCAGCCACCCAAAATGCTGGGATTAGAGGCGTGAGCCACCACTGCTGGCCAATCATCTCCTCCTTTCTTAATCTCCGTAACACCGCCCTGTCCCTTTATGCTTTGGGTAACTTGAGGTTTCTGTCTATGGTTCAGGTAACTGAGGTGACACTGCCTCTCATGGTACCTCAGTGCATGCATGGAGCCATATCACAATTATTAATCTCATCTCAGAATTAACATTGAGGCCTCAGGTGATGAAAGTTAATTTAGGTTCCTGTTTTATCAATGTTGTCTTCTTGGAGCCACACGTTCTTCACATAACATGAGCAATAGTTGCATTCTAGCTGGTAAAAGTCGGGTATTTTTATTTGGGGCCCTTCTCTGAAGGGAAAGAAAGCAAAAAGTTCTATTTCTAGCCTGTTTATTCTAAAATGCTAAGAAATGGAAAAACAAAAGTAAACACATTGTTCTGAATGACTTCTTCTTGGAAAAAGGAAGGCCCTTTGCTGGCCATATTTTATTATTCTGTGAATTATATGAATCCTCCAGTAGTTGTTGAACTGGACATGTGGACAATGTAGCAATTCTGATCATTAAGCATTAGGTGTCCATAGTTCTGGTATAATGCCTTTGTTGGATCAAAGCGTGTGTGACTGGAGGGAGGCCTTTGTTGCCTGGCTCAGAGCAGGGCCAAGAAATCATTTGGTGTCTCGTTTAGTCCTTCCAGGCAAATTAATCCTTCACTTTTGAGGAGAGGTAAGAAGGGGTTAGGGAGGAGAGATGGAGAGAGAAGGTGGGTTACTCTAATACTGTTGCCGCCTGGGAAACAGACTAGGTATCTCTTCCTGAAAACATAATGGAGGGCAAAATTTTAAGGGTTCACCACCCCAATCCTTCATAGTGGAAATACTGCTCTTAAAATTTTTTTTCTCTTAAGGTAATTTTCTGTGTTGCTATTTTCTCTTTCCTTTTTGTTTTTGGTAAAAAAGAGAAGAGATGACTGGACTTTTCTATGTCTTGTGTGTGAAGAAGAGACTAACTAGTGGAAATCAAGAAATGGCCTTTCTGAGACATGTAACTAATTAGATTCTTTCTGCTTATGACAGGTGATGGAACTGTACTGGAACAATGGGAGAAGCTGGTAGCTTATAGGAAGCCAAGATGACCAGAATGTTTTTAAATAATCCGTAAGTTAATGTTCTTGGCCTTTTGGAATTCTTTTAACTACTGGGTAAATTTTCTTTAAGGAACCATGGTAAAAGGATAGCACAATCAACTAACTTGAGTGCAAAAGAGAAACTATTTTATAAAGTAAATATCCAAACACGTCAAACAATTGATGCTAACTTTGATAAATCTTATTTTGCGTACTTCTTTCTTGATAGGGTGTGTCATTTTAAGTTGAGTGTGTCAATTTGGTGGACAGAGCATAAGTATTTGAAGAATTAAGAGAATTCCCTGCACATGGTCAGCATTTAAATTAAGCTTGGAATAACCCTTAGGATATGCAGATATTTTTGGTCCTAGTGGTTTCCTTGGGCTCCATTTCTCACTCACGTATTTTTTTCTGTGGGCATATTTTGAAGTAAATATGAACAAATTTGGTGAATATGATTAAAATTGAGTTCTTTGTCTACATCTTCTCCATATCCCTCTTCATGTATGCTACTTTTATGTACATCAGAGGCTATTAATGTTTGCTAATTATCTGACAGTTACATATGGTTGATTTTGGTTTCACTGTGATAACAATAATGTTAGTAAGTGGGGTAGCTTAGTGGAAAGATCATATATTTTTGAGTCAGACAATCCTAGGCCTCACTCTTGCTCTTGTGCTTTTTAGTAGTTACTCAACCTCTCAGAACCTTAGTCAACTCATCTGTATATTGGATTTGATACTATCTCTCATAAAATTAAAGTTTGTGGAAAGTACTTTGTGCTATGACTGGCACAGTATAGTTACTGGCACAATAAATCATATTTACTTTTCTTCCTTATATTTGTGTCATGATTTATAATCTATAGGCCTTTATTCTATCTCAAAAGATTGGCCAGCTCAAGTTCCTTACCTATTGCCAAGCTGTGGTGATTAACATTATAGGTAGTATCTGCAGGTAGATGTTAACAAGCTGGCAATGTCAGAAGGAGGGGTTGTCATGTTTGCAGGTTTCCATTGTGTAAGTACCACTGCTGTGGCTGGCTCATTTTAAACTACCAGCAAAAGTCACTGAAAGCGAGGCTGGGAAGTCTTATGTAGTAGCACAGCATTATATAGTTTCTACCAACCAGATACAGTAGTTACAAATCACCTCAAGAGCATGCTTAACAGTAAAATAATAGGAAGTGATGAGATTTGAGTATTTATTACCTTTGTTTTTAGTATGATTTATTTTAATTTTGTTTATATAATTTAACTTTTAATAATGACTGTGTTTAACAACCAGCTTGCTAAAAATTTTGAGAATTTAACAATTGGTTCTAGTGGCCTGGTATAAGTTGGCTCTAATACACCACTAATTGTAGGTTTCCTGTTGTGAAGACATTTCTAAGCCACAATTCTTTAATTATCTGCCTCAGCCGTGGTGGTAAGAGTTTCATTTGATGAATAAAAACAAGGTTTGGTTTTGAGTCAGTGCTTGCTGTAACTCAAGTTGTCATGCTCATATTGTTTCTGGAATTGAAAATAGATGCCAAAACCAATTTAGAATTTAGAACAGTTTCTTGAGTTGTTGACTCAGCTTCATAACTGACCCCTGGCATCGCTTGCCTATTCTGGCTGTTAAACTGATCTCCAAGTGCTAGTATTGGCGATCAGTCATTCTGCTCACTGCCTATTGAACTTCCTTCTCTCCCTTCCCCATATTCCTTCAAATCTTAAATTCCTTCAGGTAGTGGTGCTACAGAGACAAGTAGTCAGGATTCCTCCCAACTAAGCATTCCATGCAGCTTTGCTTTTGATTCAAAATTAAGTTTTAATGGAAACCCAATTGCCTCTAGGGAGAGAGTAAAAACAAAACAAAACCTGGGCAGTTTAAGGTTCATCTTGGCTTGATTAAAATCTTAGGGAGTGAAATGGAGGAAAAAAACGAAACCAGATCAGACATCTCAATGTTTCTTCTAGAAGCAACTTCTTCAGTTTTCTAACTTGCCCTTTAGAAGGAAGCAATCGAACCCTGAAATTGCTAAGTAACAGCTAAGATTGTGTTTGTTGTTTTTACTTTAAATCTCACCCACCTAGTTCTCAAAACACATTTTTTATTGAACCTTACAAAAATGCCTTGGATATTTCAAAACATTTGCTTGTGTCAGTTCTTTGAATCAGACTTACATAATTGTAAAACATTCATTTCCCCGATTTCCTCTTAAAACAAAAGGTATTTATAGTTCCCGCTGAGTCAGGGATGGACTTGGATTACTGCAAAAGTAATCTGTGTTCATTTCAAGAGGAAGCTCGTGGTTAAAATCTGAGAGACTTGCCTTTGGATTATGAAATAATTACCTTTGGCTTAATTTAAATAAGTGTGTCTTTGTACTTTGAAAGCAAACATGGAAATAATAATTTAATACAGAAATTTTATTATAGATATAACATTCTGACTTATATTATCATCTCTCTTAACAGAATGGGCCTTATGTGGTTTCCAAACATCCCTTGTATAGAAGATTTCTTCATTAGAGAGATGCTATGTGTATAGTCTTTAGATGCGCAAATTTTATAGCGTTGCATTATGTTCATATCAACAAACTCATGTTTGTTGATATAAACAAAAATATGTTTACTAGATACTTGGGACTCGTTGCTTTTGACGATACATTTCAGTACAAATAAGACAGACTTATTGCACTTTAGGAATTGATAATCAAACCTGAAAAGAGAAAACTATAATTTCAAACTGAATGTGGTAGGTATTATAAAAGACATATAAAATACTCAGAAAACAGAAGAGAAAGAGAAATTACCTGGGTGGCAAGAGGAGTGGGCTAGATCAGGGATGAGATTCAGGAGCAGATGATATGTGGATTAGATATTTAATGATTAATGCCTTTTTATTAAAGTACCTTTTATGAAACTATAAAAGTTAACATTGCTAATTGGATAGAACTTTAGAATGCAAAAACTATTTTGCATTTGCAAAACTATTTTGCATGGCAGTGAAAATGCTAACAATTAACATTGCTTTTTTTTTTTTTTGTATTCTGCCATACTTTTCTATGCCGAGATTAGATACATGCTTTATTTTCCCTCTAAAATGGGTCTGGTTATTACTATTGTTTTGAAATCGGCTTCAGTTGACAATATAGTAAGATGATGCCACAGCAATAAATATACATCTACATAATTGTAGATGTATACATAATATATAGCATTCCATGTGTACGTAGTCTATAATGTTGCATATTACTGGACATTTTTGTTTTCAACTTTTCATTTTTGTAAAGTGTGCTGTAATGAACATCTTTGGTAACATCATGGTGCACTCATTCAGTTATCTGGATGAGACCTTTGAACAGAGTTGGGAGGAGTGCTTAGGGGACACTCTAGGTAGAAGGAACAGTTTGAGCAGAAAGGAACAGTCTGAACAGAGATGGTAGAGGAAGATCATGTTTTGGGAAAAGGCTAGAACTATAGTTTAGTAGAATGAAAAGAAGATAATACTGCTAATTAGGGCTAGAAAAAGAAAATAGAGGGTCTTTGATACCAAGCCTTTAATTTATTCTTAGTTGGGTGTCATTTTGGAATCTATGTTATACTTTAAATGAATGACCCTGAATAGCTTCAATTGTTCTTAATTTTTCTTATTTGGGGAAGAAATAAAATAGTTCCAAATGCTCAAGAAAGAATAGATCTTTTAAAATTCTTGAGAGATTTAAGAAACTAACCAGGACATAAACAAGTAATTGAAGTCATGAGAAAAGAGTATGTGTGTGTGTGTGTGTGTGTGTGTGTGTGTGTGTGTGTGTGTGTGTATGTGTAGAAAAAACTATAAGAGTAGAGGTTTTTAAAAGTGAAGGAAAGTTCATTAATTTATTTTCTACACTTAATGAATTTTAACAAATTCTTTATAATTAAAAGTTAAGGACAATTTGGAAAAGAAGTGAGTTTGGGGATGCATGTCATAATTTAATAATAGTAATGCCTTATATTTACTGAGTTGCTTAATTATGAGGCTATGTTCTAAGAAATGTGTCCTCAGGCAATATTGTTGTTGTGTCAACATAATAGAGTGTACTTACACAAATCTAGATGGTGTAGCCTACTACAAACCTAGGCTATATGGTATAGGCTGTGGCTCCTAGGCTGCTGCAAACCTGTATAGCATGTTGCTCTACTGAATACTATAGGCACTTGTAACCAAATGGTAAGTATTTGTGTATCTAAACATAGAAAAGTATAGGAAAAATATAATCTTACGGAACCACTGCCTTTTGTGTGTCCCTTGTTGACCAAAACATTGTTATGCAGTGCATGACTATACCTGTCTGTGCTTGTGTGTTTTAAATACAAACAGTCCCCAATTTACAATGATTCGACTTAATGATTTCTTGACTTCATGATGGTGCAAAAGCAATACACCTTCAGTAGAAACCATACTTCAAGTACCCATACAGCCATTCTATTTTAACTTTCAGTACAGTATTCAATAATTTAAAAACAATATTCAATACTTGAATAAATAGGTTTTTTGTTGGATTATTTTACCCAACTTTAGGCTAACGTAAGTGTTCTGAGCATGTTTAAGGTGGGCTCAGCTAAGCTATGGTGTTAGGTATGTTAGGTGTAGTAAATGCATTTTTGATGATGGGTTTATTAGGATGTAACCTTTTCCTAAATTGGGGAGCCTCTGTTAATCATTGTACTTAGTCTCATAACAGTCTTCTTAGGAAGCATCTGGGATTATCTGCATTTTGCAGGTGACTGAAAGGCTGACTTCCCTAAGGTGGGTGAGAGAGTACCAGATTTGGTGTTGTAGTTCAGGCACTGCTGAGGCCTTGAAACATTGCTAGGATAGTTGTAAAGATAGTAAGACAGTATCTGAAAGATTATGAGAACAGCATAAAGTACCACAGAAATGGAGGGGCTGCTTTTTATAACAGGACAGCTTCTATCATTACGGGGGGAAGAAAGCTCAGCTCTAGCCATTTTCCATTCTTTTTGTGGCAGCTCATATTATTGTCAGAACACTTGCTGCTCCTTTCTGCCCACCTTCCATCCCTGTGAAAGGATTATACTCTCCTACTCTACAGAAGGCTGATGCCCCATGGCTAGCTTGGCCAAATAAATCCTCTAGGATTTATTTTGGCAGTGAAATGTCAGTGACAATAATTTGTGTCATTTCTGAGAAGACACTTTAATAGGTATGGCCTGCTCTGCCATCTTTCTCTTTTCTTTGCCATGGGACTATCATGCGCCAGTTAGGGGTGCTCCTTCTGCCCTGGTCTTTGAGTGAAGAGGACATGGAGTGGACTCCATGTCCACAGCTTATCTGCAAGGAGCCAGACAGGAACTAGTATTAAGCCTCACTCCATTGTTAGCCTCCAAAATTTGAGGACATTTTGTTCCTGCAGTATAAGTTAGCCTAAACTGATCTACTCTTTTTTCTCCCTTTAGGCACCATCCTCCCTCTTTCAGGCCTAATACACACACATACACACACATGCACACACACACACACATTCTCTCTCTCTCTCATTCACACGCAGCTTAGCCTCCTTTTTATCTCGAGGGATAGAGTTCCCTATCAACTGTTCCACTGCTGTCTTTCTCCTTCATTGAAGATGTCAACCTTCATCAGAATTTAACAATTCAAATAAGGTTTGAATTCTATAAATGTTTGTAGAACATATCCCATGTCAAAGTGTGGATTTCTGGAGGTTTAAAATAACCCAAGCCCTGGACCCAGCCTTCAGGAATCGAAGAGTATGGTGTGGGTGCTGTCTATTCAAGTAGCTATCCAACAAGGTAGACAATGTTGGGTGCTGATAAAGGGTGTGCTTTGATCCTCAGTGACCTGTTTATGTAGTGTCCCCACTTTGTTGTATGTCGACTTAAAATGTTAAGTGTCGTTGCTTTTGGTTAGTTCAGCTTACCTTCTCTTTCCCCCCTTCCTTAGCTTGTATTTACTGTGCCATTTAATTTGTACTACATGCTAGACTGCTGTGTTCTCAATTTGTAGTTTTCAGTCAATTTATACTGACTCATTCACTAGTTTAGGGTATATGTTCTTTCTTTGACACACATTGTAAGTTCTTTTTGGTTGTTGTTGTGACGGAGTCTCGCTCTGTTACACAGGCTGGAGTGCTGTGGCGCCATCTCGGCTCACTGCAAGCTCCACCTACCGGGTTCATGCCGTTCTCCTGCCTCAGCCTCCGGAGTAGCTGGGACTACAGGCGCCCGCCACCACACCCGGCTAATGTTTTTGTATTTTTAGTAGAGACGGGGTTTCAACATGTTAGCCAGGATTGTCTCTATCTCCTGACCTCGTGATCTGTCCGCCTCGGCCTTCCAAAGTGCTGGGATTACAGGCATGAGCCACTGTGCCCGGCCGTAAGTTCTTTGATTTCACAGATGATACATTAATTTTTTCTGTTATAAAGTGCTTAACATACTATTACAACAAAGTTCTTAGTAAATTTCTATTGTTTTCTTTGATTTGATTATTTTTGTTTCCCTTCAAGTTAGTGGTTCTCTTTTCTATGATGTATGAAATGGAGTTCATTGTTAATTGGGGTGCTTTTTCCCATTATTTCAATTTGGAATAATTTGGAGTTGTTCTCTCGCAATTTTAGATCTCCGTGTCTTACTACCTGACATGTGTCAAGGCAATCCAACTTAATTTCATTTTACTAGTGACAAGTCCTGGCTTTGGAGTAGGGAGTGAAATCAATAGCTCATAGAGGTCTGTCTGACTAGTGGTTTCTATGTCAAGCCAATGTATGACTTAGCTGTTCCCCTTTCTTCCTGATTGAATTCTGGTGTTTTCTGTTTCATTACTTCTGACCACAATTCTACTTTGATGTCAAAAGGCACAGGGTTAATTTATTATTAAAGCCACATCTTGGACCAGGGGCTTTCAAACTTGTTGTCCAGCATGTACAGAAAGAAATGGTTGTCAGCCTCAGTTAGACAAGGGAAGGTGAACTCAGAGAGCTGCCATGTTTCAGTAAGGTCTGCTTCATAGGATGGGTGGTAACTTCATGGGTATGACTTTAATACTACATTTCATACCAAATAGGTAACTGTATTCACTTGTATCTATTAAATACTGCACAACCAGATTTTTTAAAGGTATGAAATACCATTAATGTTGATAAATGTGTCCATTGCATTTATATTGGCAGACCTGAGTCATATTAATGGTAGTTGTTTTTTTCCAATTTTAATTTTCTCTTAAAACATTTTTTTATAAACGAAAAATACTTTCATTTTGGAAAATTCAAGCAACACAGAAAAATGTAAAGAAAGTAGAAAATCTCCCCCAGATTATGTTAACATTTTGGTGAATCTTTTTTTACTTTTGTTTTTCATTAAATCATTTTTATCCACTTAACAATGTGCTACAGCACATTCTCTAAATCAATATTGTAATTTTTAATACATACCACTCCATTTTATGATATCATATCTATTTTAATTAATATCCTGGTGATGTATGTTTAGATTGTTTCCTGTTTTCTCTATTACAGATGATATATCAATGAATATCTTTGTACATATATTTTTGGATATATTTCCAGATATAATTAAAGGGATGCATACTTTTTCTTTTCATACACATTGCCACAGGTTCAGGGAAAAAAAGAGTTTTAACTTGCACACCTCAGATTAATGTAATGAGAAATGTCAGACTCATTCATTCTTGCCAACCTGATCTACAAAACATGTTTAAATATTCACGGCTTTTTAAAAAATTTCCGTTTTTATTTTAGACCCGGGGTACATTCGCAGGTTTGTTACATGGGTAGATTGTGTGATGCTGAGTTTTGGAGTACAATTCATCCCATTATCCAGGTAGCGAGCATAGTACTCAATAGGTGGGTTTTCAGCCTCCCTTCCTCCCTCCCCTGTCTAGTAATCCTCAATGTCTGTTGTTCGCATCTTTATATCCATGTGCACCCAATGTTTAGGTCCCACTTATAAGTGAGAATATGTGGTATTTGGTTTTCTGTTTCTGCATTAATTTACTTAGGATAATGGTCTCCAGCTCCATCCATGTTGCTGCAAAGGACATGATTTCATTCTTTTTTATGCCTGTGTAGTATTCCATGGCATGTATGTACCACATTTTCTTTATCCAATCTACCATTGATGGGCACCTAGGTTGATTCCCTGTCTTTGCTATTGTGAATGGTGCTGCATTGAACATATAAATGCATCTGTCTTTTTGGTATAATGATTTATTTTCCTTTGAGTATATTTGCAGTAATGGATTGCTGGATCAAATGGTAATTCTATTTTTAGTTGTTTGAGAAATCTCCAAACTGCTTTCCACAGAGGCTGAACTAATTTACATTCCCACCAGCAGTGGATAAGCATACTCTTTTCTCTGCAACCTTGCCAACATTATTTTTTGACTTTTTAGTAATAGCTATTCTAACTGGTGTGACTTTTTAATAATAGCCATTGTGATTAATGGTATCTCATTGTGGTTTTGATTTGTATTTCTCTGATGATTAGTGATGGCTGATCATTTTTTTTGTATGTATGTTGGCTGTGCTCATATGTCTTCTCCTTTTTTTTTTTTTTTTTTTGAGACGGAGTTTCGCTCTTGTTGCCCAGGCTGGAGTGCAATGGCGCAATCTTGGCTCACTGCAACCTCCATCTCCTGGGTTCAAGTGATTCTCCTGCCTCAGCCTCCCGAGTAGCTGGGATTACAGGCATGTGCCACTATGCCCGACTAATTTTGTTTGAGAAGTGTCTGTTCATGTTCCTTGCCTACTTTTTAATGGGGTTGTTTCTTGTTTGTTGAATGTTTAAGTTCCCTATAGATTCTGAATGTTAGAACTTTGTGAGATGCGTAGTTTGCAAATATTTTCTCCCATTCTGTAGGTTGTCTCCTTATTCTGTTGATTGTTTTGCTGTGCAGAAGCTCTTTAATTAGTTCTCACTTGTCAACTTTTGCTTTTGTTGCAATTGCTTTTGAGGACTTAGTCATAAATTCCTTGCCAAGGCCGATGTCCAGGATATTTCCTAGGTTAAAACACTTTAGACAGGTATTTTAATATAGATAGTACCTTCTTTTTTTAACAGGCAAAAGACACTTTTTATGAAGATACTATTGATAAATCATTGATTTTCAAATGATCTTCATGTAAGTACAAGCATCAGGTAGCTTAAAGCCTACCTAGAGAAATATTTTTCTTTATTCAGCCATAGAGAAGTACCTTCTTTTAAGAAATAGAAAGTTAAATCTGGCTAGTGACTGTGACTGCCCTCTAGTTCCTTCACGTTTTAGGTATTTACATGGAGTCTGATACATTCGCTCTCAATCTTCTCATCTGTGAGCCCACCCCTATCTAGCTGCTCTTTGTATTAGACACAATAGTCCCAGCTTTCAGGTCAGACAAACATGGCTGTACAGCTGGCTCTGACTTGTCTTGATGATTTACCTTGGACATATATAGCATTCTTGACTCCCTGTTTCTTTGCGCGTTCAGTGTAGTTGTTAATATCTGCCTTGCAGTGTTGTATGTGGATTAAATGTAAAATAATGTGTATGAAATGAAAGCTGCTGTCATTAGTAGGTACTCGGTAAATGGATTAAATTGAGCATGTTTTTCTTGTTCTAAATGGAATTTCAAATACATTTTCCTTTAGGAACAATGTCATGAATGGAGTTTGAGTACAGTATTAGAAATATTATTCAGCATTATATTTCATTGACATATAATTTCATTAAATTATGAGTTAAACAGGTTTTTAAGGACTGGCCAGAGAAGCTGGCCTCTACGCTAGAGACATCTTGTGTCAAGTGAAATGTATTCCAAGTGTTATATAAGAGTTCGTGCACTTAGTTTTTTTTTTTCCCATGCCACCTTGTCTAAGAAGAGTTCATTGACTTTTGACTCTAGAAGTGAACTTTTAGAATGTAATTTATTACCTGGTTGAGGATGGCTTGGAATTTCTTGATAGGTGATGATGTGTTTGGGGCAAACCAGACCTTCCTTCTGCTTCTGAGAATTAAACCCGTTTTCTTCTAGAGAACTTACTGCTCCTCTCACCAATCCAACCAGGTGGTCCTAGTATAGACCAGCCAGTCTGTATGGGTACATGGCCCCAAACTGGACCAGTGAGTTTTTCTGGCAATTTTTAAAATTACAACTGTGAAAGGAGGAATTGTCTCTCTTGGATGCAGAGCTAAATTAAGTGGGAAAAGGCACACTTTAGGAATGAAGAATAAAGCCAATGATAAAACACCAGAAGCAAAGATGCTATCTTGTCCTGGTGCAATTCGTGTTGAGCTGATCCTAGTGCCCAGCTGCCCCTGTGGCTTTCCCGTTGCTGGGATATTTAGAGCCAATGTGGCTCACCTTGCTTTTGCCTGTGATGCCTCAAGTGCCATTTTTGTTACCTGCAAGTTAAACACTGCTGACTAATTCATTTGCTTGTTTATACTTGGAGTAGTTATTTAGAAAGTCAGTGCTTTTGTCATGGGCAATTTTAATAAAGTATTTAGTTGCATAGCAGGACAGACACAGCCTTTTGAGAACAGTGGTAGTGTTTTTTTCCCCATCTGTCATCAAAGCAGAAATATGCTAATGCTAATCAAAGGATACCAGTGAATGAATGTGTGTGCGGGTGGTAACGGCTCTTTTGACAGAGGCTTGCTCTAATGCAAATGTAAAACTTTTATATACCTATGATGTCATATAATGCAAATGCCATATAATAAATGTATACCTATGACAGTTCTAGGATTTATGAATTGTCTTGAAGAACTGTCCTTTGCTACCATTATGGTTAGGAGCACCTGTTGGTAAATAGATGTTTGTGGTTGAGAGTGATGTTTACATTTAAGGAGGAATTGGTACTTTGGCAAGATTATCAAATATGTATCTATGTGTTCCTTACTTGAAAGGGAAGATCGAATGACTTGTTGCTTCTGTTCTCCACAGTGGATTCGTGTTTGGGGAACTGGGATTTTACATGAAAACTCTGTTTTGTAAACTCCACTTCCTTTTAGGAAGTATCAGATTTGCTGTCTCAGTAGCATTCTGTATTGTTGGAACATGCCACAAAGAGCACAGAAACGCATCTGCTGCTTGGGTTCTGCTTGCCAACTGGTTTGAACAGCTATAATATTTGTTTATTCTTGATGTGTCAGCAGTCAAAGGGAACGTTTTCTTTTCTCCTTTGTGGCTGTTATATAACTTAAGCATCATTATATTCACAACAATGACTATTTATGCAGAATCTGCTAGGCCCTGGGGGATACAGATGCTCGGAAACACGTCTACCTCAGATGGATTTCCACTGTCTGCTGAGAGTGAAAGGTCAGGGATCTCAAAAAGAAGGAAGGATGCTAAGATCCTATGTTAGTTGTGAAATGGAAGTATAAAGAATAAGATCTGTAGGTATTTGGAGGAGAGGAGAGATTCCCCAGGGCTTTTGCCAGTGACAAAAGTTCTAGGAGAAGAAAGGGTTTCAGTGGTCTGGAATGGGATATGTACTAAAAAGAATGCAAGAAGGTTGTCAGGCAGGGGGCATGGTGTGAGCCTAGTGCTTTGAATGAAACTCTGTCACCTTAGCTGGTAACCACCCAGCAGCTGAGAGGCCTGGACTAAAGAGCACCAACATGGGAGCCACCTGCATGGGTCCCTTTGGGGCAGCCTCTCCACCAGGGATGAGCATGGCTCCCAACTACAATGTGAAAGTTAAGAATTTTTAGACCCTCGAGTGTACATGGCACACTCGGAGGCCCCCACCGTCTCCACTACATAGGCCAGGGAGCACAGGCAGAGATAAAGAGACCCATGGGCCACCATCTTATTAGGGTCCAGTGTGTTATCCAAATATGTTTCCTAAGGGGAGCTTTAATTGGTAGGTTTAAAGCAAGCAGGTGCTAGTTCCAGGAGGTCCTGTTGTGACTGAGAGGTGGTCAGTTTAAATTTGCAAGCAAATGTCTGAACGGTCTGTTTAAGGAAGTGGTGGGAAAGTGAGGAGCCCAGCCTGCTAGGCAGGACTTGGGTCTCTTCAGTTTTATTTCCTGCCACCAGTGGGAGCCATTCAGGTGGGGAATGGAATTTGAAACTGTCAAGGGTGACTGAGCCCTGATTCTGAGAAAGTTAAACCTATATTTAAAGTGGATGTCAAGGCAACATAAAATGGTAAGCACTCACTATCCCTAGGTATGGTGGTAGTAATGTGCCCTCAGCTTTAGGGGAACAAGGAGTGGACCAGCGGGTTATTTGGCAGAGGGTTTTTAAGATCGGGGTTGCAGAGGTAGAGGCAAGGCTTTGAGTGCCTATAAATGTCATGGCACTGGACCCGTAGTTTCACCGTCACTTTTTTTTGATAACTATATGTTGAGAATCCGTGTACTTTAAATTTTAATTTTAGACAACAAAGGCATCCTAGAACCAGTTATCCTGTTCTCTTGTGGGAATGTTCTAACCACATTGGTCATTGTGTTGTTCTTATTTCTGAAGCATAAGGATTATTGGAAACATCTTTCAAGTGCTTTGAGTTATGATTGCAGCCAAACATATTTATGAAGCCTTCCTTCTTCCTGGAGAGAACACCTACTCTGAATGTTAAGCTTGGCTGGATCCTAAACAATACTAACAAACTAGATCATCTCTCTTTCCTGTCTGTGCTGCCTTTCCCTTTCTCCATCATAGATCTCAAAGTATCTCTCTGTGTCCACACACACACAAACACAATTGTATTTTTTAGACTGCAGTGTTAAGTTTATGGAGTTGTTCATATACACTTAAGCTTTATGTAGTCTTCTCATGTAAAAGAGCTGCTGTCCTTGATATAATAGCCAACATATTATCAGTTCAGCCAGTATAGCTCATTGTAACAATTACATAAATATAAAATATCAGTGCTCTTAAAAATACACATTAATTTACATGAATGTTTGAGGAAAGCTGCCCGTAAAGCAAATTGTGTTCCTTTTGATCTCTACTATAAAATTATTTAATTGACTGAGAGGAAAAGGTTTATGACATGATGGCATGCTCGACTTTGACATTTGTCATGTGATGATGATGATGATGTGTTGAGAGGCATAGAGGGAGGGGCCCGCCTGCTGGAACAGCGGCTAGAAGACACTCAACCTCAGTGACTCAGGCAGAGGGGACGAATGCCTGAACCAGGAATGGAAAAAATGGTCCAGATATGAAAGAAGCCTTCATGTTACGCCTATTGGTAGTGAACCATTAAGAGAGAAAAGAGGGAGCTCAGATGATTCCAGAATTTAACTTGAAGTGTCTAGGAGAGTAACATTACCTTTATGAGGAATATGAGAGTCAAGAGAGATTTGACAGCTTCATCATCTAGGAGACAGGCCCAACTTAAGTACCTGTTGCTAAGGATAAATGTGAGGCTATAGGCCGATCTTGCTTCTGCTCTTTTGACCATAGTTTGGTTTCCAACTGGAAACACTCTTAGAGATCCTCAGAGAGAGATGAAGCAGTCAGTTCACCCTGTCACTTACTGGCAGAGCTGAGACTAGGAAGGGAGCTCTTGGCTTTTTGTGCAGTGTTCTTTCCACTCTCCCGTGCTGCTTTGGAGAAAAGAACAGCATTTTGCTGATCTCACTTTAGATCTTATCTTTGGCTAATGAGTATTTTCAAGAAACCTTGGCCTGTGGAATGACTCTAAACATGTATGAGAAAGATCTCCAAAGAGATCTTTGCTCAGGAGATCTCCAAAGCAAAGAACGTTTAATTTGTAACTTAACATTTTTTTCTTCCCATCTAGAAATTCTCTTTTGGCAATAGCAATCAACTCATTTCTTAATGGGACCTCAGGAATTAGCACTTCTGCAGCCCCCTGTAATTTGCCAATTCCCAAATAAAGTTTCTTTTAAGTATTTTTATTACAAAATAATGTTTAGGGCACAGTGACTCAGATGGAATATTTCCACAAATCACTCTTACTTTTTTAAAAGTAGGTTCACCTGTGACCTAAATGAAATCATTCCAATTTTAAGCCTATTTGCTACCAATAAACTTTCTATTGTATAGTAAGAATACCAAATTCAAGAATCCTGAACCTAAAGCTTCTTAAGTTTCTCACCACTTAAATGAGGGACTCAGACCAGGGAATACCAGAGAACTATTTCAGCTCTAAAATTCTTTAGATATTTAACATAGGAAAGAATTTTTGAAAATTACGAGCCAGTTTGTTTACAATTTTGGAGATTCGGATTCAGGACTCAGAGGGACAAGACAGCATTTTTTGAGTGCCTACTCTTTGTCCAGCACTGTGGTAAATGCTTTGCATGCATTGTTACATAATCAGTAGTTCCCCCCTTATCTTCAGATGGTATGTATGTTCCAAAGCCCCCAGTGGATGCCTGAAATCTCGATGGTCCTGAACCCTATATATACTATGATTTTTCCTATACATACCTATGGTGAAGTTTAACTTATAAATTAGGCACAGTAAGAGATTAACAGTAACTAATAATAAAATATAACAATTTTAACAATCTCAGAATGACATGAAATTTAAAATTTATGCATTGCTTATTTCTAGAATTTTCCATTTAATATTTTCAGACTGCAACTGAAGGGGCGGGGTAACGGACACAGCAGAAAGAGAAACTGCATATGGGGGGACTGTTGTAATCTGTAAACTGTTAGGTGGGCATTTTAGCCCCCTCATTGATGATAATTAACTTACTCAAGGCCACACAGTGTCAGAGGTCTGATCCAAATCTGCTTTGATACCAGGTCCCACCTCTTTGCACCCAGTATCTCTGCCTAACTCAAAAACTTTTACTAATCGAAACTAATGTACATCCACTGAAGTATCTTTCGTAAGATTAATCCTTGTTTCCCAAGCGTTTTCAAAGGCAACCTACCCTTTTCTAGAAGTTGTGTCGAAGTTGTCAAAGGCGTAAAGAAAAGGCTGTGAAAGGCTTCTAAGCTTGGTATAAATCAAGAAAGGAAAGTTCCGCCTTAACCGACACTGAACATGCTTATTGGTTAGGACTGAACGGGCTGACTCATTTCTTTTTTGCCGTGGTAGAGGGCCACACCCTGCATTCCAAAAACCCTCTGCTGCCGGGCCACACCCGCCAACCCCGCTCTTGGAGCCTCTGAGGTCCGGCTGGGCGTCTAGCTCGCAGTTGACCCCCCGGGAGAGGATCGGCGCATCCGGCCGCCCGCCAGCTCCAGACGCCGGGCTCCGCAGCGCCGCTGTCCTAGCACCAGGGCCCGGCAAGCAGGGGAACGGGACCGCCGGGACCGATCAAGGCGCGGGCGCCCAGCAAGAGCCGCGCCCGGGGTCTGCGCGCCGCTCAGCGCGCTCGCCTTTCCGCCCGCGCCAGGGCTGGCTGCGCGCACCCTGAGCGCGAGGAGCCGCGCGCAAACTTGGTGCCCCAGGAACTTTCCAGGAGACACTGCCTCCGGGGACGAGAGACCGTAAGTGTTGCTCCGGAGATGCTGTGGTTCATTAGAATACACTAACAGACGGTGTGAACCGATTAAAATACCGCAATCAGTGCCAATTCTACTACGGCGAAGTAAAGGGAAATCTTTATTTTTCCTGCATCCTGCTTTAATGATCAAATAGGCACTAGCTATTTACACCTGAGAAGGTTCAGTGCAGTTGCTGAAGCAGTGGGTCAGGATATGGGTAGGATCAGTCAACAAATGCTCTTTATATTGCGTGATGCTAACTGCCGTGGCATGAGAACCAAGGGTAGGGGGTGGTTTCTGTTTGGGGTTATCAAGTCTTCCTAATGGCAGTTTTTGAGAGAACGGGATTGTGTCTACAGATTGGTTATTAAGTTTTGGGGAAGTACTCACTTTCTCAAACTCCAGTCCCTGTACGAAACAGCCCTTTTGGCAACTCCTTTGGTTGGTTGGAAGCTGGCTTGTGAATGAGCTTGGTACTAAGTGCCACAAGGATGCACGTGCCCCTGTGTTTTGGACTGAGTGTGTTTACTCCATAACTGTGCTTTCTATTTAGTGTGGCCAGGTAATCGCTCTTGTGGAATTTGTCAATAAATACATGGAGAAGAATGCATGACATTTATTTTATTTTATTTTATTTTATTTTATTTTATTTTTGTGTTTGTTTTGTGTAGTTATACCAAAATAGGAAATCTGGAGACCTAAATTCTGTTACCCTGAATGCTACAAATATTTATCATAACATTTTTATCCAATTGAGTTACCGCTTTTAAATTTATGTAGAAATAAGTCCAGTGAGCCACTTAAAAAACCCGCTTTTCTACATAAGAAATTAGTGCAGTTGTATGATGCCAAGTAACTTATTTTCTTGCAAGAGTTTGGGGAAGTAGGGGACAGGGAAAGTGGAATCCTGTGACGACTGAGGATATACACAATGCAACAGGGAAGTTATCATGATCAGAAACACTGACTGCGTACAGGAAAGACAGGTTAAAGACGTCCCAGTAACATAAAGGATGGTGGGAAGACTTGTAAACTGAATTATGAAGTTATGAATATGAATGAGCAAGTCACGAATAGCATCATTACACATGCATTTATGAAGATAGAGACTGTGATGAGGTTAAAAGATAGACTGTCATGGAGAGAGGAAGAAAATTCTTTGCAGCTGGCTTTTTTTAGCGAGAGAAAGAAAATTCTTCGCAGCTGGCTTTTTTTTTTTTTTTTTTTTTAGTTCTATAAAGGAAACTTCCCTAGAAAGAAACCACTTCTAAATGGAATAATTAAAATAATTTGTTAGAAACTTTAAGTTACCCTATGAGCTCCTAGTAACACTGTTTTCAAGCTCATAGGTTAATTGTTAAGCCCTTTTGCTCCGAGTTGAACTGATCAAATGGCTCTGTGTAAAAGGTAACAGTGTAGAATCCTCTTTGAGAAATAGCATGTAAACTTGGGAGAAATGGCCTAAGCCCACGGTTCTCAAGTCACTGAGACAGTTGAAAAAGCCCCCTCAGGTGGTGAGAATGGGATAATATTTTATTATATCTCTAAGATGCCTCAAATCCAAAGAGATAATTAAATTTGGAATTTTATTAGTTTCACCTAATAGTTGTATAAAAGCTGAATATTTAAGGATCTCCTTTATCAGGCACTGAGATGCTTTGTATACATTACTTCATTTAGTTTTCACAATAGTCCTAAGAGGTGGAGGTATTTTTGACCCTGTTTTATAGTTGAAGAACAGGCTCAGTAAGGTTATATTACCTGCTCCAAATTTCACAGCTAGTTAATTTAGTTTATGTTGGAAGTTAGCATTTAAGGTTGGTTATTTTTCCTATGTGGCTCCAATTGCTCCTAAAATGGTGTTGATTTTTCTGTTTAAAATGATCCAGAGGAGGTTCTTGGTTCAAAGCAGATTTTTAAGTGATTTAAAAGTGCCTCATTGTCCCAGCGCCAAATTATCAAAGTTCAAGGAATTATGCATTTACTCTAGAAGGCTACGGCTTTCAAATATTAACTGAGAAAGCCCTACTCTTAATGAGCTCGTTAATGCACATGGCCGCCTTAGTGTTGCTGAACTCCGGTAACTTTCTTCTGCTTTTTTTCTGAAGACCTTTTAATTCAGGGTGTGCATTTTCCTCTTGCGTGTCACAAGTGCTATTCAGGCTTTCTCTAGTTGAATCCCCTGTTTGTGAGTGCATACCTGCAGTATTTTATATGCTAAGTGAAATATTTTTAAATTTACGTTAGCACCTAGATTAGCGTTGAACCTGTTTTAAGAATGGTGAGTTCATGAAAGGCACACTCTGTGAGAGCTAAAACTAGTTATGTGGAGGTGAGAAAGTCTCAGCGTGTCTGATCAGAGCATCCATTTCTGAGAGAGTCCATCTGTGGGCATATCATCATACAAGAGAATAATGCCACCTTCATCGAAGACCATGAAATACCATGAAATATTCCAGGACTAGGCATTGCTGACAGCCCCACATCATCACCTGCACCATCTAGTTGACACAGAACACCTACCCACTTCCTTAAGCCACTCTAAATCCTAACTGCTTTAAGTGACCTGAATTCTTGAGCATGTTGAAAGAACATGCCAGTGTGATGATAAAACCACTTGGGAGTAATCTTGGAAAAGTCATGGAGAGGGGGAAGCATGCCACAGAGTCCATTTTCAAAAATGGGGAAATGGTAAATTCGAAAACTTTAGATTCATAACTTACGTTGGTGTCTAGCAGAATTGTAGATCACATTTTTTAAAAGATTGGTCAGAATCACTTACAAAAATAAAAGTGATGATCAGTATGTAGCGTATGTTTGCTAAGAATTATTCATGTCCAATTAACCTCATTTGTTTTTTAATAATGTTACTGGACAAGTATATCAGGGCATTGCCATAGATATGCAATGTCTGCTTCATCAGAACATTTCGTTTTGTTATGTTTTGAGACGGAGTCTCGCTCTGTCACCCAGGCTGGAGTGCAGTGGCGCGATCTCAGCTCACTGCAAGCTCCGCCTCCCGGGTTGACGCCATTCTCCTGCCTCAGCCTCCTGAATAGCTGGGACTACAGGCGCCGGCATCAGAGCATTTAATAACGTGCTACGTGTGTTCTTTACTCAAGATGGAAAAATATGGATTGGATAGCGGTATAGATGAATGAGTTTAGGTCTTTTACCCAAAGAGGGATGATCAGTGGCGTAATGTCAGACTTGAGCAAGGTGTCGATAGTGTCGCTTGAGAAAGGCATATGGTACAGCTGGTGGGAAAAACTTCACACAGTACAAGAGATAGGGTATTTGGAACCAAGGAGATGATAATTGCGTCGTTCTTTGAAGCACTGTAGATAGTGGTTACGAATAGAGACTCCAAAGCCAGACTCTGGGCAAGTTATTTGAGTTCTTTATGCCTCTATTTCTTCATTCATAAAATACAAATAATAGTAATAATACCTACCTTAGAGGGCTGTTGAAGATGTTGAAGGATTAAATTATATAATCCATGTAAAGTGCTTAAAGCAGAATCGGATAGTAAATTGTATATATTAGATCCTAGTCTTCTGTTGTTGCTGCTGTTAACTACTGTCACTACTACTACTTCAGGCAATATTATGCACATTTCTGGGTTTGTGTTTAAACACATATCCAGAATGTGGTAAATAGGTTAGTTGTTGTTTTTTCAGGCAGAGTCTTGCTCTGTTGCCCAGGCTGGAGTGCAGCATCATGATCTCGACTCACTGCAACCTCAAGCAGTCTTCCCACCTCAGCCTGCTGAGTAGCTGAGACTACAGGTGTGCCACCATGCCTGGCTAATTTTTTAATATTTTGCAGAGACAAGGTCTCACTGTGTTGCCTAGGTTGGTCTCGAACTCAAACTTGTGGACTCAAGCAATGCTTCTACCTCAGCCTCTCAAAGTGCTGGGATGACAGGTGTGAACCACTGTGCCTGGCTGTAATTAGGTTTTGGAGAGTGTCTAGTAACTGTTATTTGAACAGTGGTCCAAAAACAATAGGCGTCTTCACCTTAGTGTAAAAGCTGAGAGACTTTCAATCAGATGAGGTCCACAGAAAAAAAATTAAAAAATTAAAAACTTTTAAGCTGAGAAATGATACTTTATATTTATTTACTATTACCAATGTGGTAAAAGAGAGATGGTCACATTTTGAAGTCTGTACATTTTGTCCAGTTTAATAAGTGCTTTCTGTTAAGGAGCTATAGTTTGGTGTATGAGAAATCTTCACTAAACTAGGTTTTAGGAGACCTCTTTCTTATCTCCAGTCCAAATCAGATCAGTACAGTCTTCAACCAGTTGTTATGATCTTGGGTGATTAGCTTAACTCAATGGTTCTCTGCAGGGTGCAATTTTAAACCCCCAGGGAAAATTTGGTATATTTGGACACGTTTTTGATTGTCACAGCTGGGGTTGGGGAGGTGTGCTAGTGGCACTTAGTGGATACTGCCATGGATACTGCTAAACATCCTACAGTGCACAGGACAGAGGCCCCACAGCAAAGAGTTATCCTGTCCAAAATGTCAGTAGTGTTATGGTCGAGAAATCCTGGCTTACAAGTTCAATGTATGTATTTCTGTTTCTGACATTTGAATGCCAATCTTTGCTTTAACGAAATCACCAAGTAGCTTTAACAGTATGTTTATAAAAGGCCTTTGAGAGTTAATGTATGCTGAAATCTGCAAGTGTATACAGTGTACACATTTTATCATCAGCAGCACGGTGAAATATTTGCTTTGTTTCCTGGAGGAATATATTATCGTGGTTTGAGAGTCAGATACACCTTTGCTGGAATCTCAGCCCTGCCAGTTTAACTTGCTGTGTGATTTGGGGCAAGTTTCTTTATCTGTGAAAACCAAATCTCTATTTCATAGGGCTTAGAGGAATAAACAAGATATACATGTAAATTATGTAGCACAGTCCTTAGGCACAGTCACAAGAGATAACTTTTTTTTTCAAATTTACATTTTCCAGGTTAATAGAATTGACTGATGCTTTTTAAAATGTAAGATTTGGAAGGAGGATATATAAGGAAGTTAGATTTTTTAATAGTTAAAATATTAAAAATAAAAGGGCTCCTGTTTTCCAAAGGTGATAAATCTTAGGAGAAGTAAATGTCTTTACAGATATCACTTTGGCCTTGTAGGGAATGAAGAATATGCACTAAAGTGAGAAGCACTTATTAGAGGGAGGCATAAGTTGCATGGAAAACAAGAGTCATCTATTTCTTATCAGTCTGGAATTAGCCAATAATATAACTTCTGCATTTGTGAATTGTTCCACTATAAAAACATGTAATGTTTGTTCTTAAGCAGTGTAATTCTATTTTTTAATCTTACTCTTGATATTATGTCTCTTAAATATGTTTTTCCATGCCTTAAGGTGTAAGCAGCACACCTAGCAAATGTATGTGCAAATGTGTCAATTTTGTCATCTTAGTGATTTCTTATACCCTCTCAGCCTTGCCTGAAAAGATAAAGCTTTCATGTGATCACCCTTTCTGTCACTTCCACTTGTGTATCAAGCAAGCTATAGCAGTGTGTAGCTTATCCGTAAGAGCCATTGGCATTGTATGTATTTGACTTAATGGTGTGAATTTTTGTAGGTGATAGGGGTTGGATGGGAAGATTTCAGAGTATTCACAATCCGTCTGTTGTCTACCTTATAAAGGCAGACTGTTTTGCATTTCTGTTAATTTTCCAGGGAGATGGCAATAAGAGGTCCAGCAATGAAAAGTTCCATGGCTTAGGAAGAGGCGCTTTTTCAGTTTGGAGAATTGAAGTTAGGAATTTTTTTGAAAAGTGGTCTTGATTTTCTTTCTCAGTGTCCCTATTGCATTGAATTGTGTAAACCTCACATAAACATGTGACTTGAATCCTCTAGTGGAGTGAGTGTTAGTACCCTCTGCCCCCAGCAGCTTGCCTCTCTATGGGTATCTGGAAGGAAATCTGTCCCCTCACATCATTGGGACAATTCACAGCCAGCTCATCCCTCTCAGGTGGTGGCTGCCCAAGGGGAGCACAGCAGTTCCAGCATAAGGGGCATGTGAAATGTGACTGGCGCACAGATGAAAACATACTTCTCAGAAATTACTAACATAGACTAAGCCCTGCTAGTGCTTAGAGGCCTTCATTAAGCTAACTTTCAAGTTTAATTAACTTTCCTTATCATACAGAAGTAGACGGTGGTGTTCCAGACTCTGATGGCCTCAAGCCGCCCCTGAGTTGCTGGGTAAGCAGTATTGGCAAAGAAACCTGGTGATCCTAACAGAGAATCCTGAACTGGTGATACAAAATTGCATAGTTCTATGGGGTCAGAAGCGGAGAGTTTGATACTCAAACCAAACTGAAAGTCAAGCTGATAATAAATAAACTAAAAGAAAGACTAGGCAGTTTAAAATTTCAGGTGGAACCAGTGACCACAATTCTTGAGACCCCATAAAACAATTTATCCACTTTAGGTGCATTCTGTCACTTTGATTTCTCAGATATGGATGAGACTAGAAATTACCACGCACTGCAGGAAGTGTTGCTGAAAATGTTTGAAAGCTGATTGTGTATTTACAAGGCTCCTGGGCATCAACTTGTAATTTTGCAGTAATTGGTACCAAAATCCCAAGTTCTAGACTTGTGCTGAGTTAACAGATGTAAAAATAGAATTGTTTTTTTCCCCCCTTTTGAAGCAAGGGTCTCACCAAAAGGCTCAAACACGTCCTAGACATAAAGGAACAAACAGATTTAAGTCAAGGTGGAGTGGAACAATATGCCTCATTATCCACACCATAGGTCTATTAGCTTGTATTTTTTAAAGAGTTTAAGCTTGGCATTCAATGAATTCTTTAAATACAGAGTGTGGTTATAGGTTTATTCATTTGTTTTTTCAAGAGGTCCCTCCTTCTTCCTTGAAATTCCAAAGCTTTCATTTCACTGGAATTATTGGCTTCTACCACGAGTATGGTGTATATGCCATACATGAGGGCCCTCAGGTAATAGTATGTGTACTATATATACCTTTCCCTCTTCTCAATTTGGAAAGAAAGACCTGACTCCAAAAGAAATTATTAAACTAACCTATAATGAATGTATCACAGCAAACATACAACAAGAGACCATAACTTGGTTATAGAACTATAACTTGATTAAAGGAACTAACATGTTATTCTGAGAGGGAAATTGTCTGAAGAGGAATTTAGAGAAGTAGAACTTGAAGACTGGGATGGGAGACTGAATTTGAGAGGCCAACTTGGCCTAGCTACAGAGAAGGTGCCTTACCCCTAGGGCGGCATTACCAGGTCTCCATATGGGTCTTCCCCTATGGTGGGGCTGTCTGAGGGCTTTTGAAATCTGCCTAAGTTCCAAATCTGAATTAGAGATTGGTCTTGCCCTCATCGGTGAATACCGCTGAGTCCTCCTTAACCTCACAGTGCACAGTGTCAGGCCACACAGGAAGACACAGAACATATTTTTGTTCCATGCCCACTATGCATCCTTCTCATGGTAATTTGGCCACTTCATGTAACTATGCTTTTCAGAGATCTGCCATCAGACATGCCAGCAAACAACCCACCTGATGGTTTACATTCTCACAATAAGGTATTCAGCTCGAGTTTTTACTTTAATGTCACCACAAGTGTGGTCAGTATGAATGCTTTTCTGATCATTGTATTTATAAATTTGCAAGACTAAAGGACAGCCTTGGACTATGTGAGTCTCCCCAGATAACACTGCACTCTAAGGACCAGCTGGCTTCCCCAGGTTTGCTTGTCTTCACCTTGAATGCCCTTTCCTATCTGACTTGCAACACAAGAGTGTCATGACCATCATAATATTATTATCTTTTTTATTGCAATTTAGAAAACGTTGAGAAGAAAAATGAATGTCATTGAGTGCTTATTCATGTGGGAAATGTGGTGTTCTGTTCTGTGAGTGACTCATGTAAACGAGTAAAAGAAACTAGAGTACATTGTTAAAATTACAAGGTAAACTAATTCCTACTTTGCTAGTTAGTGTGTCCTATAATTCTCATTTAAATTGCACAGATTACTAAACAACTACAGAAATTTTCACCCAAAGCAGTTCATAGACAAAATTTCACAGAATTTTTCAGTGTGATTTTATATTGTTAAAATTCTTGTAGACTTATGAAATATACTTTCATTTGGTTCTCAGGATAATAGGCTGTATATAGTTTCTTAGGCATTTTGGGTTCCAGAGCCTGTGGTACTTTCCTATATAATTGTCCTTTTTATATTCTTATATTCCCGTTGATATATTGAAAGAGTTTCCTGAAGTTATCTGTTCCTATATAATTGTCCTCTTTATAGTCTTATATTCCCGTTGATATATCGAAAGAGTTTCCTGAAGTTATCTATTGCTAATATTTAGCATTTACTTTTAGGAGCAAAATTCTCAGGAGAATTGAGAAATCTGTTGTCATTTATTTTGATTATGTCCAAGTAAAGGTCAGAGATATGAAATTAAATGTTTGTAACTGACAAACTAGTCATCACAGTCTACTTCAAAGGGAATGTCTGTCACAGTTTCAGTAGTGCCAGGGTACATAGAGATATGTTGTATGAAAACCATATGGTCTTGGGAAGACTGTAGAGGAATCCTTTTGGGAAAAGAGTATGGAATGGACAGGAACAGTTCAGGGAATAAATGGGATTATATCCAGCGAGGTTGAAGAATAGGAAAAACAGAAACATCCAGTTAGAATAAGTTTTTGTGTTTGATAGCAGAGTAGGGTGACTATAGTTAACAACAATGTATTGTATATTTTGATGTAGCTAGGTGAGAGGACTTGAAATGTTCCCAGCACATGGAAATAATAAATACTGGAGGTCATGGATATCTCAAATACTTTGAGTTGATCATCACAGTCTATGCATGCAAAAACTATCACATGTACCCCATAAATATGTGCAAATATTGTGTATCAATAAAATAAAAAGAAAAGGAAAAATAAAGCAATAATTCTAACATTACCTCTTTCCAAAGTGAGTGCCTCTCACTACTGGGTCTGGACTCTAATCTATATGAATAAAATGAATGGATTTTATTCCCTAAGAATTTGTTAACTAAGTTATCTGAGTAAGTTATATGTCCATGTTTGTAGCCAGTAGCAGGAGGGAGGTCAGGCAGGCTAGGGGTTGTTATAATCTTTTTTTGTTTTGTTTTGTTTTGAGATAGAGTCTCGCTCTGTCAGCCATGCTGGAGTGCGATGGTACAATCATGGCTTACTGCAGCATGAACTCCCAAGCTCAAATGATTCTCCTGCCTCAACTGCCCCCCCGACCCAATAGCTGGGATACTTGAGACGCACCCCAGTAGCTGGGACTACAGGCATGCACCACCATGCCCTGCTATTTTTTTTTTAAATGGAGTCTCACTCTGTCACCCAGGCTGAAGTACAGTGGTGTGATCTCAGCTCACTGCAACCTCTGCCTCCCAGGTTCAAGCGATTCTCCTGCCTCAGCCTCCTGAGTAGCTGGGACTACAGGTGCGTGCCACCACACCCAGCTAATTTTTTGTATTTTTAGTAGAGATGGGGTTTCACCGTGTTAGCCAGGAGCCTCGCTAATTAAAAAAAGTTTTTATTTTGTTTTTTTTTTTTTTTTTTTTTTTTAAGAGATGAGGTCTCAGTATATTGCCCAGGCTGGTCTCTGGGCTCAATCATTCCTTCTACCTTTGCCTCCCAGAGTATTGGGATTACAGGCGTGAGCCACTGCACCTGCCAGTTATAATGTTTTTAAACTGTGACTAGAATGAATAAAAGGGCTAGTATTTCTATGTTGCTTTTCTCTATACCTACTTGTTCCCTGCCAAAGCATACAAGAACACCACCAGCAGCAGAAGGCCTTCCTCAGATTACAGAGGACCATATGCCAGACCTTTGATGTCCAATACAATAGGCACTAGCCACATGCGAATATTTAAATTAATAATCTTAGTTGGACCTAACACATTTCAAGTGCTCAATAGCTACATATGTGGTTAGTGGCTATCATATTATGTAGAACAGATACAGAACCATTCCATCATCTCAGAAAGCTCTACTGGACAGCACTGTGCTATATACACTGTCTAAAGGAAGCTTTTTTTAAATGAATTTTTTGATATTTAGATACAAATTTAGGGAAAATGATTCAGCCAAAAGTTCAGCCTTAAAAAAAATAGATATTAAGGCGCTGGATCCATTTTCAAGCAAGTCCTCTATAAATCAAAATATTTCAGGGGTTTAACTGGCTCTTTTAGGCCAAACAAAGGTATATTATTTTAGTTTTCCTCAGGTTTAAACTTTGAATCCTAGAAGTACATGATGGCTTTCAAGAGTAGACACAGTGAATCTTTAGCATGTGTATAGGCACCCATTCTATTGTAACTGGTTAGTCAGAGCTTAGCAGGGGGAAAAAAAAGCCACTCTTATTTACGGCGGGGGGAATGCGGTAAAGTTACTTCCACAGGTGATGCAATGGCAGGAAGTCATTACCAACCCCAGGTTGAAGGGACAATTGGAGGAGGCCGTTTGGAGGTCAGGGTGGATAGGAGCTGAGACCAGAAAGGATATCAAAGATATCAACAGAAAATAAGGTGAGAAGTGCTCCTGGTGGCTTCTCCCTTTCTCGGGTTAGGCAGACAGAATTCTTATACAGAAATTGTAGAAATACAGAATTTCTATACAGAAAATGTAGTACTTCATCATTTTCCTTAGAATGCTCACATTTTTGTGGTTTTATTACCTGTGCTATTCATAGTGACATCACTAGGGGACTTTTGAGGATTAACCACTTCTTCACCTAGATTTTTATCGGCACATTCTATGATATATCACTTAGCAAATCCAGAGAGGTTAAACAGTTTAAGCCATGATAGGGACAGAACTGGAAAAATGCTAATTCTTGCTCTTTTACTTGTGCACGTTGCCACTGGGCCTACTGCAGAAATGCTACTAGTAAAGGGAGTATATCATCAGTTCAGTCTGGGAGCAGAAACTGCATAGTAGTTTAAACAAGGAAAGTTTAATATTAAGACTTATTAGGGCCAGGTGAGGTAGTTCATACCTGTAATCCCAGCACTGCTTTGGGAGGCCAAGGCAGGAAGATTACTTGAGGCCAGGAGCGCAGGACCTGCCTGGGCAACATAGCAAGACACTGTCTCTATAAAAACAAACAAACAAACAAAAAAATTACCTAGGTGTGGTGATGCATGCCTGTAGCCCTAGCTGCCTGGGAGGCTGAGGTGGGAGTGTCTCTTAAGCCCAAGGGGACAAGGCTGCAGTGAGCTAGGATCACACCACTGCACTCCAGCCTGGGTGATAGAGGAAGACCCTATCTCTGAAGAAAAAAAAAAAAAGAATTATAGCTATAACAAAGGATTGGAGCAATGATAAGATTGGCTAATAAAAAGTAAACAGAACTCTATAGAAATAGCAGATATAGGTAGCATCTACTACTCCAATGGCTGAGATAGAGGATCCAAGGAAGAGACCAACTTCCTACCCCCTCTCAGAGCTGAGATCCAGACCTTGTTGGAGAGGACACGTCCTTGATTCACTGCATGGCAGAGCAGTTGCTGTAGTGCCACACCAGCAAAACTTACTAAAAATCTGCCTTCCAGAACTTGCTGAAAATCCATCCTTCATGGTCCCAGGGAAAGCTATTCATGGGCGGATATCTACTGGAGGCACTCTGCTAAAAACTGTTTGAGACAGGCTTTGGAGAAGCTGCACATCCGACAGGAGTCTGATGTGACTCCTGATCAGACCAGGAAGCAAAACTCCTTCCTACAATGTCTCTCTAGCATTTTCTACAGACAAAAATTAACAAACATCATGTCAGCTAGCAAATGGAAAATACTTACAGGGCTCAGATCCCCTTTTGCAAATCAGGCTGTAAATGGTGAATTTGTAGCTGAGAGGCAGTAAATTGATAACTGACACAGGGAGAAAAACAAGACCACCCTTCTTCTCAGAGCCTTTATTATTATTTTTTTCAACAAGGTAATTGCACATGTATGTGTATGTGTGTGTGTATATATATATTTAGGTGGGGTTTTCCTTCCAGTAGTACTTCATCATTTTCCTTAGAATGCTCACATTTTTGTGGTTTTATTACCTGTGCTATTCATAGTGACATCACTAGGGGACTTTTGAGGATTAAGTATTTTAGTTTTACTGTTCATCTCTTAAACCTTGGATAAATACATGAATATTAATGAGTTGGAGCCACATTTTTGAAATGACATTCAGCTAAATGACATTCCAGGCTTTTGTTTAATGCCTATGAAGATATGTAGCATAACCTAGAATTATAGTTGCATGTGAAATAATTCAATTTGGGATTTTATCTCAAGAATTATAAATATTTGCCAAAAGATTTCATAATACATTCTAGTATATTTTATTTGTACATGGTAGGATTTTTCTTTCATTTGTGAGGGTGTTTCTTTACTGCTTTTCATGAATTGGGATAGTTCTTCCAGAAGAGCTTTTCAAAGATTTTTCTTCTCAGTTGTTTTCCACATTCTACAACTGTAAACTGCTAATTTTTTGTGGCTTCTTGCTCTATACACCATGCAATGCATAATTTATCAGTTTGTTTAAAACATTAGAAAGGGAGAAATACTCAGCCTTGTCCTTGAACCTGAGTTGATACTCGATCTATCTCCATCTGCATTGCCCCCTTTTTCTCTACTTTGTCTCTTATTTTGCTGTATTTTTTCTTCCTCAGAACTCTCCTGAAAAGCCTTTGATTTGGTAAATATATTTTGGGATTTTCAGATGTTGAGGTTTATTATAAATGCTTTAAATTTTCTGGTTTTATTTTTTTTAATTAGGTTTTGTTGAGGAACAGAGTGTAAAAGAAAGGATATGGTTAAAATATGAAAATAAGTAAAAATGGTGCATGTACATCGTTAGTATACAAATGATATCAAATAGTTTAGAAAGAGATGTCAAAGGCTCCTCTCACTGTAACTGTTATTACATTTCTTGTGATTTGTTCCAGGAAAAAAAAATACATATTTTGGCACATATCTGCGTCTATCTTGCTTTTGGCTTTTTACATTTTTAATAAAGGGATTAATATACATACCGTTCCTTAGCTTTTTCTTTGTACTTTACCTATTTTTGAGATATATTCCTGTCAACACATACAGATCTTCTTTATTCACTTTAATGATGGTACAATATTTTATTTTATGGGTGTATAATAATTGATTTTATTTTTGCCTTTTTTCTGGATGTTTTAATAGTTGCCATTGGGGGGATTGTGTTTAGCTATTGGATTTATTGCAGTCTGCCTTTCTGTAAATATTTTCGTATAAATATCTTGCTGACATACCTGTAGGGTAAATTCCTGTGAGTGGGATTGCTACATCAGTGGGAAAATACATTTCAAATTTTGATAAACATCACCAAATTCTTCTCTGGAAAGGTCACTGATTGTTTGTTTTTTCGAGACAGGGTCTCGCTCTTCACCCAGACTGCAATGCAGTGGCACAATCATAGCTTATTGCAACCTCAAACTCGTGGGCTCAAGCAATGCTCGCTCCTCCCAAGTAGCTAGGACCACAGGCATGCACCACGATGCCCACCTAGTTTTTTGTATTTTCTATAGAGATGGGGGTCTCACTGTGTTTCTCAAGCTGGTCACATACTCTTGGCCTCAGGCAGTTCTCCCACATCAGACTCTCAAAGCACTGGGCTTACAGCTGTGAGCCTGGCCTTTTTAAAAAAAAAAAAAAAATCAAAACAAAACAAAACAAGATTATGTCTTTCCCACGCTTCCATCAACATTTTTCATTCACCAAGTTTTAACATTTTTGCCAATCTGGTAAGTTAAAAATTTACTTTCCCTCTGGGTGAGGATCTTTTCATAGGTCCATTGTGAGTTTCTTTCTGTAAACTGCTCACTCATGTGCTTTCTTCTTCCTCTTTCTCCCTCTTTTTCCTTCCTTTTGCCCTTGTGTCTTCTTGTCTTTATCATATTGACTTGTATGAGCTCATTTTAAATTAGGAAAATTCATCCTATTTCATATGTATTATACCTGTTTCCCCCATGTTACCGTCTATCTTTTGATTTCCATTAAAAAGATTTTTATTTTGGTGTAAGGAATATTAAACATGTTCTTTTACAAAGGAAATAAAAGAAGGGTAGGGGTTGAGGAAATCTGGCCATACTTTCTGCTGTTTTTGTGGCCTGAGTAGTTGTAGTTTGGGGCTAAAGGTTATCCCACCTGACACTACCATGTCCCATACCTGTGGAGACCCTGTACTATCTTACAGCAAAATTATTCTTAAGACATACTAGATGTTGGTGTCCTTCCCCTCTGTATTTGCCTAAACCTTCATCAGTGTATTGAGCCTCTTAAGAGCAGGTGAGCTTATGAACAACCTTGTCTGGAAACGTCAGAATTTAGCCACATGATGAGATCATTCCTGGTAGCCAGGAGTTGTAGATAATGCTCACTTCTGTATCCTGAGCACCTAGGGTAGCATCTGGCTTTTGAAACACCATGTGTTGAATGAATGAATGAAGACAAAGAAGAGCAAGAGCAGAGGATGAGCAGAAATAGAGAACTCGAATGAAGATTCACTTTGGAACACATTAGTCAATTAGATATATGCATGCCTGACAAATGTACCCCTAGAGTCTAGAATACTTTCATTTCTTATCTTCGTAACCTCTACTCAGGCTCTTGACAGCTGGGATGGGTTTAAGCTAATAGTATATTATTTACCTCATAAACTTTATGGAACATTGAACATGCGAACCGTGTACTTGTGCCAACTGTTAGTTAGTTGAAACTCTTCTTTCTTTGAATTTACGTAATTTTCTGTCTAGACTGGCCAGTGAGTAATAATCATGTCTGTTCTTTTGTGAGTAGTGTTATTAAAACTATGTTTTTCGGATTTTAAGATAATAGATCAAAAATGAATTTCTGTCTAAATTTATTCAAAGAACAAACTTCTTCGAACATTTAAAATGGTTCTGGTTACAACATAATGTCTTTGGCAGCAACTTGGGTGGAACTGGGGGCCATTATTCTAAGTGGAGTAACTCAGGAACGGAAAGCCAAATACTGCATGTTCTCACATATAAGTGGGAGCTAAATTATAGGTACACAGGGACGTACAGAGTGGTATAATGGACATTGGAGACTCAGAAGGGAGGAAGGTAATGGATAAAAAACTACCTATGGGGTACAGGGTACACTGCTCTGGTGACAGGTACGCTAATATCCCAGACTTCACTATACAAATCATCCATCTAACCAAAAACCACTTCTACCTCTAAAGCTATTGAAATTAAAAAAAAAAAATGGTTCTGGTTAACAAAAATTGAGTATACAAATGGCTTGTTACATACTATGTAAACTATGACTCAACCTAAATCCTAGAAAAATAGTTGACTAGTTCTTTGTTTAATTAAACATCTCCAGAGAAGGTTTTTAAAGATTTCCTCACAATTCAAATAATCTATATACTTATTCATACATATGGAAAGTCTTTTAATGATATCCTATGAAGGGCAATACTGTGCAGTATTTTCTTGGCTTGGCATGTAATGTTATACCCTGAAAATGTCAATAAATCTTAATTTCCAGTAGGATCGTGGCCCCTTTTTCTTGCCATTTGACCTGAGATGTCTAATGGTTTTGTTTATTCTTCATAGTTTTATGGAGGCAATTGACTCCATTAATTTGAATTTACTGAAATAAAAGCCAACAATAGGAAGATAGATTAATTTTTGAAAAAGCTAATGCTAAGCTTTGACTTCTGTTACTGTTCAGTGGCATTCAATGCAAAAATAATTGAACCTCAGAACATTAGAGAAATAGTCATTGTTGTTTTGAGTGATCATGATGCTTATTACGCATCCATTTCAATGCGGACTGATGCAGTAATTGATGGATGATGCCATTAATTAGGCTTTTGACCAGACAAATTTATTGTAGTTTGGTAATTTTTTAGGCAGAATATTGAAATGAAAGGTAAATGGAGATTTTTTTAACAAAATGAAGATGTTTAAAATGTCAACAGAAAGCTCACAAATAATTTCTTGGGTACAACAGTTTTGTACCACTTTGGTCCATCTTTTGCATCTTTAGCTTAATCTTAAAAAATCAAGGTGACTAAGTAAGGTGACAGAAATTCATTTGTGAATTTGTCTTTGACATTTTGTGCAGGAGCATAAATGAATACGACAAGGGAATCTACTTTGAAAAATGAGTGTTTGAAAGTAGGTGTTTCTTGGATTTTTTTAGCCTCAGTGAGGACAGATCTGTGGGTGAGACCTTGGTGCTTTGTTGAAAACCAGTTGGCATTGAAGAAGGCAAATGAAAAATAGAAGCCTAATGTTGATTGTGACAAATGTAAAACATGTATCCCTTAAGAAAATTTCAGGAGCTTTTGGTGGGGGGTATTTCTGGTTGGTTGGTGTAAAGTTTTGGTGGCATATAGACCTTTTGAAGGAGTACTTTATAGTTGGAATAGAGTGTGAACCACCTGAGAATCAAACTAGAGGGATTTCTCCTGTGGGTGGAAAAGCAGAGGCTTTGAAAATGAATGCTTCTGTGTTTGGTTCCCAGTGTTGCCACTCACTGAGGGATCCCAGTAAGGAACAAACTCTCTCCGAGCCTCAGTATTCTTAATTTGCACAAGTGGAGATTAAAATGTCTCCATCAAAGAGTTTTTAAAGAATAGGTAAATTTGGCACATAGTAATCACTCAACAAATGTGTTATTTTTAAAGAAAGAGTTTCTAGTATTGTTCAGATTAAGAGGGTGGCCACTGAAAAATATTTTCAGGACTACCAAAGGTTAATAAAATAATTACAGTATAAGGTATGGAAATTGGGGCTAGTTTAGAACTTGCTGTTTTTCAGCAAGGCAGAAATTTGCTGTGTATTATTAGAATGTGACAATTAATGATTTTTCCCATGGCTGGCTCAAGTGTCAGATAATTGACCCTGGTTTACGTCGTATGTCTCAAGATGAGGCCACAAGTCCCATTGAGGTCAATTACTAGGCATAAGTGTTTATTTCAAACAGTTTGTGTCTCTGCCATTGGTCTGGTCACACACACTAATTATCATCATCTTGAGGCATTGCAGTTGCCTGGTTGAGTGGAGGCACTTGGGAGCTTCCTGCCCAGGAACCCTCCGGCCTTGATGTGGTCTATTGGGAAATTGGTTACATCAGTATTGGCCATAAGACAGGATCTGACAACTGTCCAGACTTTCATTATTGCCTGATACATTCTGGTCACATACTGATATTGAACAGGTAGTAAAGGAACAGTCAGCACTTGTGGTTTTGTACTTCTTACCTTTTTCCTCACAAAAATAAAGCTGCTTTCATATTTTCTTCTTACTAATAAGATAGTGAGCAACCTGGGCAACATAGCAAGACCTTGTCTGTAAAAAAATTTTTTTTTAATTGGCTGGGCGAGGTGGTATATAGCTGTAGTCTCAGCTACTCAGGAGGCTGAGGTGGGAGGATTGCTTGAGTCCAAGAGTTCGAGGCTGAAGTGAGCAGTGATTATACCACTGCATTGCAGCCTGGGTGACAGAGCGAGAACCTTGTCTCTTAAAAAAAATAGCTATATATATATATATATATATATATATATATATATATATATATATATATATATATATGCCAGGATGTGTTCTATAGGTCTTGTGTTTATATTTTGTTGATCTTCACAAGCTATGGTGTAGGTGCTATTGTTATCCTCAATTTGCAGAGGCAAAAAACTGCATCACAGAGTGGGTGAGTAATTTATTCAAGGTCTCACAGCAAGTAAACAGAAGAGCTAGGTTTTAAATCTAGGCCATCTGGCTCCAGAATCTTTTGACAACTGTACTAACCTTCCTCTCCATTAGAAAGTATAGACAGTTATACTGAATATATATGAAAAGAACATGAACAACCATGTAAAACCCATCTAACCAGTGAAAACCATTCCTAGCACCTCACGCACGTACTTCCAGATTCCTTCCTTGAACTCTTTTTTTTTTTTTTTGAGAAGGAGTCTCACTGTGTCGCCCAGGCTGGAGTGCAGTGGCGCGATCCCGGCTCACTGCAAGCTCTGCCTCCTAGGTTCATGCCATTTTCCTGCCTCAGCCTCCCGAGTGGCTGGGACTACAGGCGCCCACCACCATGCCTGGCTAATTTTTTTATATTTTTAGTAGAGACAGGGTTTCACCGTGTTAGCCAGAATGGTCTCGATCTCCTGACCTCGTGATCCGCCTGCCTCGGCCTCCCAAAGTGCTGGGATTACAGGTGTGAGCCGCCGTGCCTGGCCTCCTTCCTTGAACTCTGATGGGAAGTTCTCTCCCCCTGACCCTTTTCTACTTCCAAGAGCTAAGCATAATGAACAATCTGGTATATATCTTCCCAAATATAGATGCAGTTATTCACATTGTACATATATAGGTAATTCATACACATTCTCATATATCCTCCTGTGTGCATTGTTCTGCTAAGCACTTTTTCTCACTCAGTATGTCCTGGAAATATTTCTGTATGTGTCATTGTATATAATTTAACACATTCTTAAACTGACTGCTTATATGGACTGCACCACTTCTGTAGGATGGGTGTACTATAATTTCAGTGCACCACTTTCATTGATGGACATTTACATTGTTGTCATATTTTTTCTATATTATTTTCAATAGTTGCATATTCTATATTATTTTCAATAGTTGCATACCTTTTATTGTATGAAAGTACTATAATCTCCTGTTTTGAAATTCAGATTATTAGAAGGTACAGGGATGAATATTCTCAAAACTTGGAATTTGAGCACATCCTTCCTTAGTTACCTCCCAGTCCCAATTAAAATGCTAAGTCCAAATGATCACCTTGTCATTTAAAAAACCAACTTACTGCGGTATATTTTCTATATAATTCAGTGATTTTCAGTAAATTTACTGAGTTCTACAACCAGCACCATAAACCAGTTTTAGAACATTTCCATCGGTTCTTAAAAGATAAGATTCCTCTCTTATCTTTTTACATTTAATCTCTACTTCCACACCGAGCCCTAGGCAACTACTAATCTACTTTCTGTCTCTAAAGTGTTTCCGGTCCTGGACATTTCATATAACCTGTCACTTTTAAGAATTTGATATCCATAAGTAGTATTTCTTTTCTTACTCTTTTGAATAATTTGGCCTATATACAACTCCTAGCTAGAACTGTCTATTATATTAGGGTACTGTCTTGAATAATAATAATAATATATATATTTTTTCCATTCCATAGAGACAAACTGCTTCTCTGTTTATAAGGCTTCTTTGGTAATACTTGCCATATTACAAGAGAACTGTTAAGCTTGTTTGGTTAATTTCTTCATGTGGTGGCTTGATAGTAATTGTTATTCTTGGCTTGGTTTGATTGAGAACTGAATATGCATTGATTTCTCAGAAGACTTGCTACCAAAATATAGCAAAAACTTACCAGAACCTCCCCCCATGAGAAGTAACACTGAAAAGTTCTCACTTATGACATCACATCCCAACTTACAACACCGGTATTGTTAGCTTCAAATTGCTTACAAACGTTCTGCAATTCTTTTGGATTAAGTAACTCTGTACTATTAAAATAATTTTTAAAATATTATTTTATTGCCTTTATAAACCAGTTTGGATTAAAAGCTAATATTTTTTAAAGGTTAGGATAATTTCATTTCATTATTTAATATTTCAAAATCTGATGATATGATCATATTTTGAAGTCATCTGATAGTTCCTGAAAGTATTTTAGATGTCTACTCCCTGCATTTATACATCTGTTTAGAGCCTGATTGTTTTTATATGGTGTGCTTATTTATTTTTTGTCATTGCACGTGAATAATTACTGTTTTCTGAAGACCTCTACTTTTTAAGAAGCTCCGAGAGAGTGGAAAAATAACCACCAAACTTGTCTGCCTCACTTTATTACTGAGAGAAAAAATTTGCAGAATGATATTAACTATATACTAAAATCTTAGCACACCAGAGTACAAAGTCAGGGACGGAAAACTTTCTGTGTGTAGCCTTTTGAAATGTATCTATAAGTAGAAGGCATTCCCAAGTCACATGCTGAAGAGCGGCGAAATGGCTTAGAGGCAGAGTTCTTAGGTGCCACTCTACCTATTTCAGGCAGATTCTGTCACCATCAGCCCTTCGTAGGTCACATAACTTACTTGATTTTAGTGACTTATTTAAAATCAGTAATTAACACCTCAAGAGGAAAAAGCTTTTCTTTAGAAGAAATAACAGATTTATCTTCAATACCTCTGAAACCTAAATGGTTGCTTAAGTAACAGCTGTTGCATTTTATCATCATTGGCAAACGGGAAAGGCAGCTTCCTCAACTTGTGTTTGTCTTCTAAAGGAAAAACCAAAGCAATATATAGCAACTGATGCTTATCCAGAAGAGATAACTCAGATGCACAGAGGCAAAGAGATGTGGACATCTAAATAAACCCAGACACTTTGTTCTTCAGAACTTTTAAACATAGGCATTTTCTCTCTCGGCGAGAGAGTGAGCTGTGATCAGTTGTGTGTGTAGCCAGGATGTTGCTAAAGCAAACTGACTTTATCTGCCTTGCACGCCTTCTCCTCTGCTTTGGTGTCATGCCTGTCTCCTTTCTAAGACCAGCTAACCATACTTGGTTTCTTCTGTCCTCTTTAACATCTTCATCTTGCTTTATTGTGCATGTGTATGATTTGAGGTTCTAGATCCTTGAACTGGGGAGTGACAACTTAGACACCCACAGAGACCACGTATCTATCCTACCTGGTCCTGCAGAGTGCCCTACACTGAGTGAGTCCTCTGTCTAAGAGTGCTGCTAACCATCTCCTCAAGGGCAGTTATCTGCCATTTGCAAAGAATGTACAAGTTCTCTAAATCTAGCAACTACATCAGAGATCTTAGATGATGATTCATTTGAAGAGAATGGGTTGGGAGTACTCATGCAAAGAGAAGAAGCATTTTTTTTTTGCTTTTGATCTTACTGCACATTAATTTTGAGTAAATTTGATAGTACAAATCAACCAACGGATATTCACATTTTGAGTGTCCCGTACTTGAGCTCCTGAGAGTGTGCAGAAGGGTGGAGTGCTTATCTTCAAGTAACACCGCCGGTTCACCACACAGCTTTCTTTTTAACAGAACACTGGAGGCTGCCGCTGTTGGGATGCATTGAGGGGAGGGGACCTAGCTACTTTTAAAAGAATCTTTGGGTATAGAAATTGGGGGAAGGAAGATGTGAAAAATAATGCCACTTGTGGGTGGGGTGGGGATGGATGTGAGAAGACAGACTGCTAAAAGCAGCCATGATTGGTGAGCACCTGCTGTGTGCCTAGACTCTACTAGGTACTCTGCAGCTCATTATCTCATTTAATCCTGTGAGTCAGGTGATGGTATCCATATTTTTATAGACAGGGAAACTGGCTTGGAAAGGTCAACACTTCCTCAAACAAACAAACAAAAACAGATGGAGTTAGTCTAATTCTTTCTATTTGTAACTAATTCGTCTTAAGATTAACATGTTCCTTCCTCTCTCTAGTTCCAAAATATCCCCCCTTCCACGGTCCTGAATTTTTTCACTTCTCTTTTGTATACTCTTGAACTGGAGGCATTTACAGTTGTGGAACATAGACCTTCTGAAATGCAAAACATCCTAGGGAAGAGAAATGTACCTTACTGTGTGGGTTGACTTTTGCCTTGCTTTGCTCAACTCCTAGCTGAGAATACCTGGACTTAAGATAATGGGGGCTGCACGTGGGAAGTAAAGAGAGGAGAAGAGGTAGTCTTTAAGCTTGGACCTCTAGAGGGGTGGGACTGGGAGCCCCACCCTGAGGGCTCAGAGAAGCAAAGACTCCTGAGGAGACAGCCACTAAAAGGAGGGCAAGATTTCACCAAAGGCTAACTTTTCCCCTTCTGGTTTTGTTAACGTTTTTCATCATGGAAAGGGAGGAAATGCACTGGAGGGTCCAGACCTTGGTTTAGTTCCTCTTTCAGTAGAATTGGGATCCTCAGATGAATGATGAATCGGTTAAGGGTGGAAATAACTTTTTCAGCAGTATACATACCCACCATAAACATTTTATTAACTTTAGAAACAGAAATGTTTAGGATTTCTCAATGTTTTATGTAGTGTCAAGGAATTTTCTTTTGAATATGGGTCCTCTGATTTGTGCCATTTCTTGTCTTTCCTGCACAAGCCCCACCCATAATCCTTCATCGATGTCCAGTCTTTATTTCTTTAAAGTGATGCCGGAACATCAAAACTTCAAAGCAGCCCAATACTGAATCCTTCCACATTTTAAGTTACATTTTCCTCGTAAGAATATTAAAGTTGTCTCAACCACCTCTAATTTTGCAGCAATCTTTTGGTAAGACTGTTTACCTTTATCAAGTCTTTCTAAAGCATTCAATTTAGTTTTGTGGAAATAACAGCTCACTTTCTTTCCAGACTCCAGTTTCATTGATTACTCAATATTTATTTAAATTATGTAATAATGGAAACAAGCAGGTTTGGAGACAAATACAGTGAGTCTTGGTAAGCATTGCATATTGACTAATGGGAGCAGAGTTGCCAAGCTTAGGTTGGCTAATACTAATGACAGCGGGCAGTTGCTTAATCATCCACATGCATCAGTATGTCTGAGTGAGGGGTAACTAATCCAGTGTGAGAGTCAAGTAGAATTGTTTAAGAGCACTTTAACTGTAGTCAAATGCTACACCTGCTCCTTAATAGCTTGAAGGAGCTATTTATTACAGGGATCCCAACAACTCGTGTGATTTGATTTTTACTATGAGTTGCACCTAGAATTGTAAACATTCAATATACTAATCATAACAGCGACCATGAAGGTGTTTTTTTTCTTGGGGAGGTGTCTAATCACACACACACAAAATCAGTATGATCAGAGAGGGCAGGAAATTGATTTATCACCCTCAGGGGCTTGATGTTGCTCTTGTTAAAGGGACAAGCTTGTTAGATGTGAGCTCACGCAAAGTATTGCCAGAGATCTCCTGCCAAGCTCTTCCTGTTATGTAAAAGCAAAAAGGAGTGGGCAGATTATGAAATTATTCTGTATATGATGATTAGTTCGTGATGGTATAGTGATTTGTTAATCTGGTTCATTACTTTAAAAAGCTTAATCATAGTCATCAACTTCCATATTTTTACTTTTTAGATAGGCAGAAAGAATTCAGACCAGTTATTAGTTGCTAAACAATTTGTTGTTGAATGAAAAGCAAAATCCTGGAAAAAAACAACTTAGAGTATTAGGGTCTAACAGCCTGAAAGTCATTGTAAACTTGACTTGTTTTTCTGCCCCTGAAATTAAGTTAGATGAATTAAAACAAAAGGCAAAGGCAGTTATTTAAAAAACTTGTTTTTGCTATTGCATATTTATTTCATATAACCTCAGATTTATTTTGATTTCCATTTCTTGGTGCCTGGCACCAGAATTTGTGCAGATCTATTTCAAAACCACACATTGTAAAATCAACACTATTGACAGTTATGGGTAATTGAATGGCAAATGGGGTTTCCAACTGGGTGCTCCAACTGGGACTCTTAAACAAGGCTTGACAAATTCTGCTTTGTCAGGTGTCATAAAATATGGTTCAGAACGCATCTGTAGTGTCAAGGGAAAATCACTTATGCCATTCCCTGTATTACCACTTCTGACTCTTGTCCGTCCTGAAGTAGGAATTCACATGGCTTATGATGGAGTCTTTGTTTTAGGAAACACGACACAAACGCTAAGACTCTTCAGATATCATCACTGAATCTTTAAGTTCAATCCAGTTGCTAGATTTGGCCTGTAACATTTGGCTCAGGGATTCCTGGTGGCCAAAGGAAAACATCACAAGAGTCACATTATCTGTAAGATAGGAACAGACTAGTTGTTTTAAAGAAAACTTCTCTTAAAACTCAAAGCAGAAAGATGTCAGAATGGGATTTAAGTAATTTCTGCCTTCAGCCTAGGGAATTGGCTTGTATGGCAGTTTTTTCCACTCCTTTTGTGGTATCTATATAGAGATAGGATATATGACTCACTTGGCAAAGGTCAGGAGTCTGAACATTTGGGTAATGAGTACCTTGTCCTAGGAAGATAAACTGAGCACAGTGTCCCTAGGACTTGCACGATCGAAGAATCCCCTTGGTTGGGGCTTGGACCTTTGCCAGCTCATCTGCAAAATCTTTTAAGTTGTCCTGATCAGCCAAAGCTGCTATCACCTGAATCTTGGTTGTTTTTACTATTAATAATATAGAAATATTTTGCCAAGAAAATCTTTTGTCTTTTTGTGGGACAGGTTTCAGAAATGGTCCACAGTCTCTGTAGATACCTCTAGTAATTGGTCTCAGAACTCATTGCCTTTAATCAGCCCTGGGGATCAGTGGGTGACAGATCAGTGCCTTTATGAAATGGAGTTACTAGGAATGGTGTGTCATTGCCTGACGTGCCTCCTTATCTGCCATAATGGAGTTCCTTATATATTTCCTGCTTGTCTTGTATGCCTTTGGATCTAGTAAGGAAATAAGGAGAGGTTGAGAAAATACAGAGTAAAGCTTTAGCAGGTATCTTCCCGTTAAGTGACAGGCAGTGATTTGTGCTTCTTTGGTTTTTATCATCGGTCTAATGTGAGTCATTCTTGTGCGTCAGGGTTGGATCTTTTTGCCTTTCCTTTCTCTTCTCCTGTTGACTTGACCTGGTTTCTTTAGTCTGAGAAATTGGACGTATTTTTCTTTCTTTGAGGAAAGGGCTAGTGGATAAAGCCCTCCCATAGAGAGTGTAACGTGGGTAATATTTGGGTGCCCTTTCAGGGTTAGGTCCCACTTTGTTCAAGGAATGCTGTATGCATGGGTAGATTATTAATAAGATGGTGGCCCCAGTAAATGTTGGTGTATGTGTGAGACTTGGTGGGAAGAGCTGCTTGCTGTAAATAGTGGCTCCTCTGCTCAGCAGTTTTGTGAAGTCAGTTGACTTATTCTTTAATTTCATCCCACCACCCAACATAAATTTTTTGGTTCATTAAAAAAAAAAAACTTTCTGGATGCTTTATGTTTGTATTATTTTTTAACCAAATTGGGTTCATACCAGATTAAATTTCAAGTTAAAGATAATTTATTATGGCAGTTTAAAAAAACACAGAATGTAAAGTGAATAGTAGAATGAACTCCATATCCGTATCTCCCAGCATTAACAATCAACTTTCTGGATTCTTGTTCTCTCTCTCCCTTTCCCCTACTTAGTTCTGGGGAAAGAGGGGCAGTATTTTAAGACAAATCCCAGACATCATACCATTTCACTCCCATACTTTGTTGTCATGTTCGTTTTTCAATTATTTACCTTTTGTCTGTTGACTTTTCTTTCTCTTGTTTCTGAAATAACACTTGGACTGTGCCCTGGTGATGTTATGAAGGTACACTTTCTGGTAGTGTTGTCCTTTGCATGGCGCTTGCTGGGCTGGTCTTCATGGATCCTGAGGAAGACAGCTCTGCTGGTATGCAGTTCACGTCTCAGTAGAACCTAGTCACCAGTAGAACCCAGAGGTATCACTGCTACCTCGCGACCTTGTACAGTTAGGTGAAAGACTGTGCACTTGTATACTATGTTTAGAAGAAATGGACTCAAATCTAAGTCATGATGATGTTTATTATTTTTTAAACCCATAAAGAAACCATGGCTTTGATTAAGACTCTCTAAATGGATATAGCTAGATTCTATTTTGTTTTTCTAATTACATAGACAGAAAACTTTTGACATTACAAATTAATCATTTATAAGTTTGCCATCTTTTGAGTACAGTAATAATTTATTTGTGCAACATTTCAGTTTTTTTTTTTTTAACTTTTACTTTAGGTTCAGAGTACATGTGCAGGTTTGTTATATAGGTAAATTGCGTGTCATGGGGATTTGGCGTACAGACCATTTCATCAACCAGGTAATAAGTATAGTACTCGACAGGTAGTTTTTCAAGCCTGACCTTCCTCCCACCCTCCACCCTCAAGTAGGCCCTGGTGTCTGTTGTTCCCTTCTTTCTGTCCGTGTGTACTCAGTGTTTAGCTTCCACTTATAAGTGAGAGCATGCACTATTTGGTTTTCTGCTCCTGCATTACTTCACTTACGATAATGACCTCCAGCTCCATCCATGTTGCTGCAAAGGACATGATCTCATTCTTTTTTTTTTTTTTTTTTAATGATTGCATAATGTTCCATGGCATATATATACACCACATTTTCCTTATCCCGTCTATCATTGATGGACATTTAGGTTGGTTCCACATCTTTGCCATTGTGAATAGTGCTATGATGAACATACATGTGCACATTCTTTATGATAGAACAATTTATATTCCTTTGGGTAAATACCCAATAATGGGATTACTAGGTCTAATGGTAATTCTGTTTTACGTTCTTCGAGAAATCACCAAACTGCTTTCCACAATAGTTGAACTAATTTACATTCCCACCAGCGGTGTGTAAGTGTTCCCTTTTCTCCACAATCTTGCCAGTATCTGTTACTTTTGGCTTTTTAATAATAGCCATTCTGACTAGTGTGAGATGGTATTATTGTGGCTTTGATTTGCATTTCTCTAATGATTGGCAATGCTGAGCATTTTTCCATATGCTTATTGGCTGCATGTGTGTCTTCTTTTAAAAAAAATTCAGCTTTTAAAAGTTTCCATGTAAGTTATCATGTTCAAGTCCCACAACAGCACTGCAAGTAAGGAAAAGTATTAAATTCCTCCCAGTTAAGTCAGAGAAAAGTGGAAGATGAGAGGGGATTAGTTAATGACTTGATTTTAGGTCTGTGGTCTCCTAGACTAGAAGTCCTTTCTCTTTTAAATGTGTTTTGAGTTGCTTTGGAATGGTTTTGAAATGGAAATGTGCCTTGTTCTTTATATTTGTTTCTTCAAAGTTTTGTCTTTTGTTTGGAAAATTCTCAATACCTCTGACCAGGTCTTGGAGATGCTCGGGCAAACTACACGCTTCTTGGCATCCTATTCCAGGACAAGGCCAGGGCAGAGTGCATAGCCCCTCTTGGAGCCGTTTTATTCCTGACATTACCCTCTCTCCGCTATGACTTTGGTTTCTACCTCTCCACTGCTACCCCAGACCCAGGCTGTGACCATTACCAGGGATTTTTATTTGGGTATGCTGGTGACTTTTGTGACAGAGTGGAATTTATTTGAGCCTAAAGTGTCTGGAATTTTTCCTGGAGACTCAAGATACTTGATACAGTAAAGAAATTGTTCTCAGATTCCTCTATCCTTGTAGACATTTTGGTTCAAGCACTTAATTGCCCAATTTCTTTCAAAGGGAGTAATTCCAAAAAAGATTTTTAAAGTATCTAGACATGAACATTCTAATTGTTAGATATTAATTTTTTTTTCTTAAGAGGCAGGGTCTTGTTCCATTACCTAGGCAGGAGTGCAGTGGCACGATCACAGCTCACTGCAGCTTCCAACTCCTGGGTTCAAGCCATCCTCCTGTTCCAGCCTTCCACAGAGCTAGGACTACAGACTACAGGTGTGTGCTACCACGCCCAGCTGACATGAACATTCTATTGACTTAAATTCCTCTGGGGAATAGAGTAATGCTTCAGGGTTTATGCTTTATTCAAAACCAAAGTTCTAGTTTTAACAAATAAAACAAAGTTCAGCTTTATTCAGTAAAGCATAAAAGAAAATAAATTTCTATACCAGCAATCTAAACATTTGTGTACTTTGTTTCTCCCAAAGAGAAACATCAGTTAAAATTGATTTCCTGCTCAAATGTCTTGTCTGCTGCAGGTGTATTTCCTAAAACATGATTTATGCATTTGATTTAGTGACGTTACATGTATTTGTAGTACCGAATAGTTTGAATAATAATTGAACATAATTTCATTGCAGATATTTTAACCATCGGTTATTATTCAATGAATTATTTATATAAAATAGGTTAATATAATTTCAAATATGAAGTTGCTTTGGAAAAAGTAAAGGAACACCAGCTAAAATCAGGAGTAATGGGTATTATGGAATATTTTCAACAATAGGCAGTGCTGTTTTCAAACACGTAAAGTATTCAAAGTCATTGGTTAACTAAATGTTGTGAAACCAAAGTTCTGGTTTTAACAAATAAAACAAATCTTCAATTAGTACACTAAACGTTTATAAATAATACAGGCAAAATGATTCCTAAATTGCTTAGGAACAGTTTATTTATTTATTTATTTTTGTACAAACAAAAAGCTTCATAGAAAGTCTAATGAGATTTGGGACTTGTTGGAGATTTTATGTTTTGTGGGCATAGCTAGGCTGAATTAGCCAGTTATGGTCAGGGGGCTACCAAAGAACCTTTTCATAAATGGAAATTGGTAGAGCCTGATGAGACATCAGAGGCCTTTATTTTAGTGGCTGTGTGCATGTGGGGATGGCCAGGAAGAGGAGAAAATAGCAAAGTGGAATATTTTTATTTCACTGGGAAGTTGCTCTCATAGCCTAGTCTCAGCCTTGCTGGTGTGTGCCTTGTGATCTTAAGTAAAACACTTTGATTTGATGGCCCCAGTCTGTGTATAATTTGAGGCTTTAACTAGAACCTGCGACTTTCACATTGGGTACTTGACCTCCCCCCAGATACAAGGTGGTAAGCCAAGAAGTATGAGGTAACTTGCTAAATACAGCATATATTTTTTAAAGATTTAGGCAAAGATTGGTTTTTATATTAGTACAGCCATGACTATATTATTAGAGCAAAGCACAAAATTTACATGTAGTTTTAAGGTAAACTATAAACATAAAAAACTGCACCTTTTATTAGAGCCCCTTGGGATGATGCACCTAGACATTCAGGTGGCTGTTTTTGACCTCTACCCATAGTATTCTTGGGAGAAAATATTCAGGAAGACAGTTGATATTTTTTAAAATAAATTTCATTGTATATATTTAAGGTATATGACATGATGTTATAGGCTACATATAGATAGTAAAACAATTACTATAGTGAAACTATCATTTCATATGTTACTCAATTTTTGTTTTTGTGGCAAAAGGAGCTAAAAATTTACTCATTTAGTAAGAATCCCATATACAGTATGATTTTATTACCTATCATCCTCATATTGTACATCGGCGCTCTAGACTTGTTTGCCGGTTGCTAGATGACATCCAAAATCTTATTTCACTCTTAGTTTATATCATTCCTATCTAAGAACTGATCATGGATGCCTTTTCATCTTAATAATCAGGTGTTTTGTTTTATTATTGTTTTATGTAGTAGGTTATTTAAAACAGCATGTGCCATCTAAGTAGTGTAATTCCAATTATGTTAAAATATATAGGCCCACTTTTTCCATTTATTCTACAGTACATATCAAGCGCTCGCTATATGTGAGGCACTCTTTTGGACTTCTGTTTTTGTTTTTTGTTTTATTTCTTTTTGAGACAGTCTCGCTCTGTCGCCCAGGCTGGAGTGCAGTGGTGCGAACTTAGCTCGCTGCAGCCTCTGCCTCCTGAGTATCTAGGATTACAGGCACCCACCATCATGCCTGGCAAATTTTTTTTTTTTTTTTTTTTTTTTAGTAGAGACAGGGTTTTGCAATATTGACCAGGCTGCTCTTGAACTTCTGGCCTCAAGTGATCTGTCCACTTCTTCTTCCCAAAGTGCTGGGATTACAGGCATGAGCCACCATACCCAGCCTCTTTTGGGCTTTTAAGGAGTACATTTGCTTTGTTTAAATATTTAATTAAATTGTTAACATTTTGAGTACATAACAAATTCACATGGTTCAAAATTCAAATGGCATGAAAAGATACATAATGTCAAGTGTACCTCCCACCCTTGCCATCCAGGTCTACTTCCTGGAGATAGTGGATGTTGCTTTCAAAGCCTTCAAGTGATATTGTATGTTTTTATTACCAAATATGTACATATCTCCTTCCTTCCCTCTCTTACACAAATGGTAGCATATGTTAAATCAAGTTTAGTCTAAAGCTGCCTCCTTAAATATTTTAAGTTCAGTGTAAAGGTTTCTCTGTATATAGTGAACTGTACCTAAATGCAGGTGTAAACAGACTGTAACCTACTCTTGTGCCAATCACCAATTTTTGGTCAATCAAAGGGGGCCAATTGTTCAAACTGTATTCAAATAAGGCAAACACTAAGCTGTAACCACTCCAGCTGTTTCTGTACCTCACTTCCACTTTCTGTACATCACTTTCCTTTTTCTCTCTATAAATCTTCCACCATGTGGCTGTGCTGGAGTCTCTGAGCCTACCGTGGCTTGGGAGGCTGCTTGATTCATGAATCGTTCTTTGCTCAATTAACCTCTGTTAAATTTAATTTAGCTAAGGATTTTCTTTTAGCATATACAATACCTATGAATCTGCCGCCTTGCTTTTTTCATTTGACAATTAGATTTGTCCTGAAGGATATATACCTGTTAGCACTGGTTATCTCTGAAAGATAAGATGGAGGAGGCTTGGCTTGCGGTGTCTGTTTATCTGTCTGTCTATGTATTTAACTTTCTGTATTTCTGTATTGCCTGAATCTTCTTACAGGGAGAATATTGCCTTTTCGATAAAGAGGGAAAGTCCTTTTTGAAAAAAGAGATAGCGTAAGGTAATTAAATCCACACAAACACATATAAATCGGATCTTTGATTTTTCTAATAGCTCCCTCCATGGTGGAAGTTTTGGAGGAAGTGGGTGTATGTGTTTGTGGAAGGCTTTTTGACCTGGGATAGGGAGTGAGCAGGGGAAGTCTCTGAAAGAACCCCCAAGGAATGCTTTTATAACTTTGCCTTAATGGTTAAGGAAAGTGAAACTACATGGATTTCCCCCTTTAGGCAGCATTTGTCTCCAGGTGTGGTAACTCATTTTAAGGAACTGAAAACACATTCCAGAATCTTCTATCAGCATCATCGATGGTATCCCCAGTTGGAGGTGCACTACTCAGTTGGGGAGCACACAGGCTTTGGAGCCTATTGTTGGGACTCCTCCGCTCAACATGTGACCCTTTGTAGGGCACTTGACCTTGAGTACCAGGTTGCTTGGTACCATTTGACCTTGAGTACCAGGAACCTTGAGTACCTAGGTTCCTCACCTGTCAATAGATATTCATTTATCCCTTTTTGTAGAATTGCTTTGAATTTAGTGAGCTTATACTTTTAAAAAGCTCGGGTCATAGTAGGCTTTCAGTACGTGTTAGCTATTATCATCACCCTCCTTGCTAGGCAGAGCAGGACAGTGGGGAATTGATGTTTCCTCCCCTCCATCTCACAGGTGGGGCAGGGGTGTGCTGAGAAGAGAACTTGGGACTCTTGGCCCCTGTTCAATTCTCTGCTTAACCTGCTAGGCAATTTGGGCCTCTGAAAATTCAGTAATCCTCATAGCAACTTAGACGTCACCTGGGCCTGTGGTCCCCTTCCTAGCCTAGGAGCCAGAGCATGAAGCTCCATCTGTCACATTGGTTTGTTCAGAGAACTACACATGCGTTTTATTTTAGCAGCATACAGGTTCCCACTTAGGCATTGAGAGGACATAGGAAGCTGTTTAACTTCCTAGTCTTTAAGGTGTGGACGCTGAAGAGCTTAGCTAGTAATGACAGTATCCTGTAGAAAAAGCTATGGCATCACATACTGATTTTCTAATTACTTCAACCCATAAGGATGCTATAATGCTTTTGTAAATTACCGTCTAAGCTATATGAAGTAATGCATTCCATCCTGCAGTGCAGTAAATGTTACTATACTCTTGTAAGTAGTGGCATGTGTTTCCAAAGTTGAGGTTAAATCCAGAAAGGCTGCGACACAATAATTAGTTTTATAATTCTTCATGCAGACTGATGGAGAAGTCTTTACAATTTTGACTTGCCTCTTAAGACCCCTCTAGGGTTAGTTTCACATTTATTTTCCAGTTTCTTCAGTGTTAGATTTCTATTTTAAAAGGCGGGATTATTTCATAACATAACTACCATGTGTTAGGCATCGCAGAATTGCCATCTGATAATCTAAACTCAAGTACAACAGCAAAGACAGCTGCAGAAGAAAAATTTTTGATGTCCTATGTCATAGCCTAAAAAGCCCCACAAGAGGGTCTAGCAAGCAGAGGATAGTAGTTTTACAGGAGAGAACAAGTGAGACAGAGCCCTTCACAGCACATAACAGGGGTTCGGCTCTTGCATCATCTGGTTAATGTGCTAGAAATCAAGCATGAATGCCTTTTGTGTTCTCAAGCTCTAATTGCAAAACTTGTTTATCCAAGGAAAAAATAAAATGAAACAAGAGAGACATGCCATTGGCTGTCACACGGCCAAGGTTCTCCCATGCCTTCCTAGCTCATCTGACATCTTCCTCTCCTACTCCCAGCATGCCCCTAAGTCACCTTTTTTTTTGTAATCAGATCTCAGGTTCCTTTATCTTAGTTCATAGTGATTATTTCGCAGAACATGACAACTCGCTTAAAAGAACAGTGATTGATTTCATGGAGCACTTATAAAACATAGGTACTGAGTACTTTTACATATGTTATTTCATTTAACCTTTATGGTAACTTGATTAAAACTTTGTAACTTTTCAGGTAGCTTTGTTTTTGTGGTACACTGAAGGAAAGAGGACTAGGGAAGTTAAAAACCTTTCCCATGATCACATGGCAGAAACTGGGAGAGTGAGAACTGGAATCCAAGTCTACCTGATTCAAAACTTGTTCTTAGTCTGAACTTTACCATAATAATAGCTGCCATTTATTGAAGACCTACTGTTTTCTAGGACCTGTAAAAAAACAACTCTCTGAGGTTACTAACTTAAACAATGGATCAAAGTTAGTGTTACCAGTAATGGGGCAGATGGATAGCTTCTGTTCTTTGATATGATCAGAGTGGAACACAACATTACTTCTGGGGCATTCTTGCCAAAAATGCATAACCTCAATTTAATCAAGAGAAAACATCAGAGAAACCCAAACTGGAGATATTCGGTAAAAAAAAACTAGCACCCTTCAACTGTCAGGGTCATGAAAGGTGAAGAAAGATTGAGGAACTGCCACGTATTAGCAGAGACTAAGGGGACACTAAATAATTGTGGGAACAGAGAAAAGGCTATTAGAGGGGAAATTTGTGAAATTAAAAAGAAGATATGTCATTTAGTTAACAGAATTCTAACCATGTTAATTCCTTGGTTTTGATCATTGTACTATCCTCATCTAAGTTGATAATATAAAGGACTCTGGGTGAAGGGTATGCCTCAGTTTTTTGTACTATTGCAGCTTCTCTTTAAACCTAAAATTATTTCAAAATAGAAAGTAGGCCGGGCACAGTGGGTCATGACAGTAATAACAGCACTTTGGGAGGCTGAGGCAAGAGGATTGTTTGAGCCCAGAAGTTCGAGACCAGGCTGGGCAACAGAGTGAGAACTCTTCTCTACAAAAATAAAATTAAAAATAACCTGGCATGGTGGCACACACCTGTAGTCCCCAACACTCCAGAGGCTGAGGTGGGAGACTGCTGAGCTGTGATTGCACCACTTGCATTTCAGAGAAAAGAAAAGAGAAAGGAAGGCAAGCAGGGATGGAGGGAAGGAGGGAAGGAAGGAAGGAAGGAGAGAAAGAGAGGAAAGAGGGAGGAAGAGGGAAAGGAGAAAGAAGGAAGGAAAGGAGAGAGAGAGAGAGAAAAAGAAAGAGAGAAAGAAAGTAAGTTAGAAAAAGTTTAAAAATCTATCTGAGGTTGATATTATTTATTTTCATTTTAGGATAAAGAAACAAAAGGCTCAAATGTTAGATAACTTACTCAAGATCATACAAATGGTAATCATTAGTGAGTGAAGGAAGAAAAAATCTTAATAGTCTTGGAGATTCCAAGGCCCATGTGTCTTAGTTCATTCCGTCTTCTATAACAAAACACCATAGACTGGGTGGCGTATAAACAATTGAAATTTGTTTCTCAGAGTTCTGGAGGCTAGAAAGTCCATGATCCAGGTGCTAGCTGATTCCCTCCTTCTCCTGGACAGCTGTCTTCTCACTGTACTCTCATGTGGCAGAAGGGTTGAAGAAGTCCTCTAGGGTCTCCTTTATAAGGGCACTGATCCCATTCATGATGGCTCTGCTATCATGATCTAATTATCCCCAAAAGGTCTATATTCAGTGTATAGCACCACATTAACTGCTATGCTTTATAGCTACCTCGTTTTAAATATTACTAAACATAGCCCTAGCCCTGAGCCAAAGCCCCTTTCTATTACATAGTCTTTATTTTATACTGAAAAAATGGCATCTTTGTGCCTATTGAAGAAAAGCAATGGATATATCTTAATAATATAGGATATATAGATTATATGTGTGTGTGTAAATAGAGCAATATTTATAGAGAATTAAGGCAATTTAAAACAACACATGAGAAAGTATACAAATCAAAGTTTTTTGTTTAACCAAGGAAAATGAAACTAGTCATTATTAAGTGTTGTAATTAAAAAAAAATTTCTACATCCTGGGTCTCCAGATTATAAAGGTCATGTTTATCTCTTTTTCTGCTGCCCACCTTTTCCAAACTTTCCTGTACAAGCGATGCTTATACTGTTTAATTCAAAAGATAAGAAAGCCATCTTTTTGTTTTATATTATTAAAAGATTGATAGTTTGAAAAGATATGTAGATTGTTTTCAGACTTTAAACCCAAAAGAAGAATACACGTTTAAAAGAAAATCCTGCAGTATTTTTAAATACTGATAAAATATAATTACAATGGAAATCTTTTTAAACTTGAAGAAACGGATCTTTCGGCTCTATTCATCTGTAAACAATTTAATGATAAATTCTGCATAATTCTTCTATGTGATATCATTAGAAATGTAGTACAAAGATCTAATTTAAAATCACTTACTTTCTGAGCCTCCATGTCTTCATCTGTAAAATAGGTACAATACACTAACCCAAAATTTTTGCCGAGATAATTTGATAATCTTATAAAGTCTTTTCAATTAAAAGACTTCAGTATACGTTTCTTCCTTTAAAAAAACTTTTTTACTTCTTCTTAAGACTCTATTGTAGAGTTTATGACTCCTGAAGTTAATAACTTCCTTCTAAAGACTTTACAAACTTTGACCTTTGTTATTTTGATTTACATGTGTGAGGCATTTCATGAAAATGCAGAAAACAAGTTGCTGTTTGCCAAGACATTGGATCAGCTAGCATAGTGTGGTGCTATTTTTAATAATACGTAATTCCTGTGGCCATTTGATAAAACTAGAAGCTCATTAAATGAAGCCCAGAGTGACAGTCGTATGAAATTCAATTTCATAAGACCAGGACTATTTCAGGGATGGTTTTTGAGAGGAGCTGTAACTTAGATCTGTCGGCTAAATTTAGTCTGTCAGCTCGCTGGGTCCCTCCTCTCCATTGCTGTTTATAATAGAGGATGAATGTTTGTGTGTGTGTGTTTTTTTTTTGGTCAGAATGGAGTGGGGAAGTTGTGTGTGTGTGTGTGTGTGTGTGTATGTGTGTGTTTGTGTGTGTGTTTTCTTGAAGGGTCTCCACCTTTGAAAAGTCTTTATAGCTTTTTATTGATTATAAAAATAGTAGCTATTCATTATAAGAAATATTTGCCTGTGAGAAAATATGCAGAATTGTTAAGTCACCAGGGGTAACTTGTATCAGTTTTGTATGTAGACCTAAATTCTTATTTTCTATGAATATATATCTGTGATATAGATGTCACAAAATCATGATCATGCATTTTCTATATCCTTGAACATTTTCCAAGAAGATACTTTACAATTGTATGGGATTGCTTCTAAGGGCACTGATTTGTTTAATTTCCTATTGTATATGGGAGTTCTTCTTTTCCCCCTTAGATTAGCTGATACCAACTGAAACTCACAGGTCAGCTGTCAATTAAATGTAATCCCAATTCTTAATTTCTAAGGTTACTACCATGTAAAACTTGCCTAATATAAAAGAGATATATGTGTATATCAAGATATACTCTAACCATCTAGTTTTATCTAATAGTTTCAACCTCAATAGTCTCAGAAAAATGTATTGAAAGGAAAGGAAAAGACAACTCACCTTCCACCCTGCATTTTACAGCTAGAAAGAGACCCAGAGTGCCACTTTCTCCTTTTTCAAACTTGGCAGCAAAAAGATACTGACGTTTAGCCAGCCAGCTGGTTATGATTTCATTCTTTCTTGGACCGCCCTATTTTTCCTTCCACACCACAGTTAAACCCCCTGAGTGGTAACAGATAGAGAAGGTCAAGGGATAAAGGCTGACCTGCTACATAGGCTGTGCCAGGCCACCCTTCGAGCCTGCCCAAGCCCACTGTGGGCAACTTCTCTAGATTCTCCTTAGCTCATTTGCTGAGTGTGGTTGGCTTTTATTAATGTTAATTTTTAAAATCTGGCAAAATACACAAAAACTTACCATTTTAATCATTTTTCATATTGTTGTAGAATCATCATTTTCATCATCTCAAACTGAAGTTGTCTGTTAAATACTTGGACTCAGAACAAAAAGACATCCCTAAGGCCAAAAGCAATTGGATCTAAAGAAAACTGAATAATAGTGATAGAGAAAATTCACGAAAGGATTTTTTTTTCTCATCTCCTTTCTCCATTTATTTACTCCAACTGCTTTTTTAGCTAAAGACAAAAGATGCTGTAGTCATGGGTGGCAGAACCATGCTTTTGTGTAGGCAGTGCTCCCAAAGTTTGTTTACAGTGCTTTTGCTTGCACCTCAGATCATTTTTCCAGAATGTTACGGATTTTTTTTTTCTTCTTCTTCTTTTTTTTTTTCTTTTAGAACACTGTTCACGATCACTTTTTCATATACCATGGGACTCAGGCAAACCCTTTTTAAATTCCTGGTTATATATTTGTTTTAATGTTCATTAGTATTTGTTTGTTTGTTTGTTTGTTTTCTTTAACAGCCATCAAGGCTAGGCATGGTGGCTCACACTTGTAATCTCAGCAATTTGGGAGGCTGAGACAGGAGGATCACTTGAGTGCAGGAGTTCAAGAGTAGCCTGGGTAACAGTGAGATCCCATCTCTGGGAAAAAAAAAAAAAAAAGCCAGGTGTGGTGGCACATGCTTGTGGTCCCAGCTACTCAGGAGGCTGAGATGGGAGGATCATTTGGGCCCCAAGAGGTCACTGCTACAGTGAGCTGTGATTGCACCACTGCACCGCAGCCTGGTCAACATAGTAAGATTCTGTCTCAAAAAGAAAAATGCCATCAAATACCTGTTTTCACAGATATTGTTCCTTAGAACAAGACTTAGTTAAAAAAAGAGAGTGTGAGCTAGTTTAAAGAACAGTATTAAGTAAATAATATTATAGGTGGTATGAAGAGGTAGCAAATTGGTGTACAAGTAATATTTGGGGAACAGGTTCTGAATGGTCTTTCAGTAGCCCACACCTCATTCCATAGCTTTGGCACTCCGCTGGCAGCAGGACGAAGCCAGGTAGGCAGTGGCATGGACGTTTCTGTACTGATTCTGCTAATGGGCTGAGGAGGAACTTGAGGACCTGGGGGAACTGAGAAAGCCCACGTCTCTTTCTAATCTGGGTTTCTAGGAACATACTCCAGACCTGGGTAGCGCCATCCCTATGATTGTATTCTTCTGCTGGTGTTATTTTTACAGCTTGCAACATTAGAAAGGAGAGAGGAATTTTTTTTTTTTTTTTTGATACAGAGTCTTACTGTGTTGCCCAGGCTGGAGTGCAGTGGCACTCTCAGTTCACTGTAACCTCTGCCTCCTGGGCTCAAGCGATTCTCCTGCCTCAGCCTCCCAGGTAGCTGGGGCTACAGGCACATACCACCATGTCTGGCTAATTTTTGTATTTCTATTAGAGACAGGGTTTTACTGTGTTGGCCAGGCTGGTCTCAAACATCTGACCTCAGGTGATCCGCCCACCTCAGCCTCCCAGAGTGCTGGGATTACAGATATGAGCCACTGTGCCCAGCCAAGGGAGGATTTTTAAAAGTCTATATTTCAGCCTGTCCCATTTTTTGATTCAGATCTTAGATAGAAAAAGGAAGTTTTATTTTGGTGACCGAGATATAGGTCCTGGTTGGGTGAGTCTTTCTGAATAATGCTCAGTCTGCTGGTAATTTTGTCACTTACTCAAGCTTCAGGCCTTGAGATGGGCAAAAGAGCTCTGTTCTCTTCTGTTTTTCTTTCCTGTTGCTCTTGCCAGAACTGCCGTTGCCAGGAAGTTTGGGGCAGGTCCCAAGCAACATGGGTTCCCAAAGAGGGGTGGGAGTAGAAATCTCTAGAAAATATGACTGCAAGAGAAGGTGAATTCCATGACTGCCTGGCCTTGGTGGCTGTGTCACAATTGCTGCATATATTTTAAAATGTATATGTAAGTCCTGGACTTGAGAATTCTTAGGAAACCCTTCTTCTTTTCTCTCTTTTTGGTCTTTCCTCCTACTCTCTCTGTAATCTTTAGTTTTTTGAAAGCATAGAATGATATGTAATTATTATTTATAAATCATGTATAAACAATTGAAATTCCCTGACCCTCTCCAATTCTCTATCCCTGTCCCTCCGTAGCCTCTGTATGTATATGTTTCTAGATGTTTTATGCTTACATACACGTGCACATATATATATATATATATAAATGTATATGCCCACATATATGTGAATGATAAATACATTTTTCAATTAATATGTATTTCTACGTCACAGATATGTTGGTATGTACAGATATACCACATTCTTTGAAATGACCACATGGTATTCTGTTGTGAGGAGGCATCAAATTTATTTATCCAAACCACAGTGAAGGATATTTAGGTGCTTTTGGAAATTGTGTTACATAAATAGGGCTGCACTTTTGAACACACATCTTGACTCATTTTTAATATATCTGTAAGTAAGAGATGGAATTCCTGGGGCTTAAAGTATATTATACATTTTGGTAAATAATGTCACATTGCCCTATGACTGTCATAAAGGTTATGACAGTCTTAACTAATTTTTGCTCTTATTTAATCTGAGCATATGTTATTTGTACTTGTCTACTATTTCATACTTTTGGCATATTTTATTCCATATATTCTGCCTTAGCCTGTGCTCCTTTTTCCCCTACACTATCAGGAATACATAGTGCTTTAATAGTAGATGTTCAATACGATATGGGTTTTAGGAAGAAAAAACCTCCCTACTCATTTGAGAATAATGTAGTAACCCCAAGCTCAGTGCATTGTCCTGTCATTTTTGTGGACACTGTTTTGATATTCCTTAAAAATGGATAGTAAACATCAGGTAGGTACTAAGATATCAATTAAGAGAAAGTACTCCTATTCACTAGACACTAGTAGTGATTAATCCCACTTAAAAAATCCACTTATTCATTCAGCAAATATTTTTTCAAAGCCTATTCTGTGCTAAGTGCTATACTAATCCACCGAAGGTTTTATATCTTACTATATATATATGAGTTTGGGGTACTTGAATAGAAGTTACAAATTAGTGTATGAATAATGCCTTTGAGTGGTTCTGAAAACATTTTAAATTTTACTGCTGTAGTTGGCTGTGAATGAAGAAACTTTGCCTAGGACAGACTTTAGGACTCATTTGTCTCAGTCTCTGTTTATGATCTGCTGAAGAATCTACATTTTTCAGGTTAGATGCTTTATAGAATGCAATCAAAGTTAAAATTTTTAGCCATAGGTTCTAAAACTTAAACAAAACATGAGTGAATTGTAGTCTGTTTCTTTCTGTCTTCCCATCTCTCTCTGGTATGCCCTTAGTTTAAAAAGAGTTGTTTTGTTTGGGTTGCTCTGCCGTAAAGAAGGAATTTGAAGAGGAATCAGTAAAAAGAAGGAGATGGCTCCATTAATCAAGTGTGAAAGACTTTTCCAGGAAACAGGCTAGTGTAAAAGCTGCAAGTGAAATGTATAAATACAGATCTAAGGTTTTAAAAGAAGATACACTGCTCTTGAATTATGGCTCCTAAAAAATCCAAGGTAGAAGCAAAATCACTGAAAATATTTCAAGAGCTGGCATTTGGATATCTTGGTTATTAGGAGTAAACATTTTGAAGCAAAACATGTGATTAAGGCTCTTGAGAAGAGGAGCTTATCCTGCATTATCCAGGTAAGCCCTAAATGCAATCATATGTATCCTTATAAGACAGGGGCAGAGGGAGATTTGACATGAAGGGAAGGCAATGTGAAGGTGAAGGCAGAGATAGGAGTGATGTGGCCACAAATCGAAGAATGCCACGGAATGCCAGTAGCCACCAGATGATTGAGAAGCAAGGAACAAATTCTTTCCCAGGGCCTCCAGAGGGAGTATGTCCCTGCTAATACTTTGATTTCAGACTTCTGGCCTCCAGACTGATAATGCATTTCTGTTTAAAGCCCCCCAGTTTGTGGTTATTTGTTACAGCAGCCGCAGGAAACTAATGTATCATTCTGAGGTCCCCCAAATCTCAACCCATTGCAGTTCAAGATAGAGTCCAAAATCTCATTAGCTGAGAAGTATGGCGTACCAGAAAAGAAGTGACTACTGTAATAAAAGGCATACATCTAAAGATTAGAAGACATGATGAAAACATCTTCCATCAGTGCTATAGTTTGAATGTTTGTCCCCTCCAAAATTCTTGTTGAAAGATAATTCCCAGTGTAACAGTATTGAGAGATGGGCCCTCTAAGAAGTGATTGAGTTATGAGGACTCTGCCCTTATGAATGGAGTAACCCATTCATTAATTAATAGATTAATGGGTGAATGGGTTATCATGGGAGTGGGTTAGTTATCATGAAAGTGGATCCGTTATAAAAGCCAGTTTGGCTCTCTCTTGTGAGTCATCTCACCCTGAGATGCCTTCTGACATGTTTTGATGCAGCATGAGGCCCTCACCGGAAACCAACCAGATGTAGCTGCCTGAGCTTGGACTTCCCAGTTTCCAGAATCATGAACCAAAATAAACTTTTTTTCTTTGTTAACTACCTAGTCTCAGATATTCTGTTCTAGCAACAGAAAACAGGCTAAGACAATCAGCAAGTAGAATGTATCAGAACATTTCCAGGGAGACTGTTGCAAGAAGTTCTTAAACTGATAATTCCTTACTGCCTTTCTTAGTCTAATGTTGTGCTCACTCTGGATATGAGTAACCTTTTTTCATGGAAATTGTTTCTGTAGAGCTGCCCATCTTAAAAAATGCCCATTGACATTATTCACAATAGCAAAGACTTGGAACCAACCCAAATGTCCATCAGTGATAGACTGGATTAAGAAAATGTGGCACATATACACCATGGAATACTATGCAGCCACAAGAAAAGATGAGTTCATGTCCTTTGTAGGGACATGGATGAAGCTGGAAACCATCATTCTCAGCAAACTATCGCAAGGCCAAAAAACCAAACACCGCATGTTCTCACTCATAGGTGGGAATTGAACAATGAGAACACTTGAACACAGGAAGGGGAACATCACACACTGGGGCCTATCGTGGGGTTGGGGGAGCAGGGAGGGATAGCATTAGGAGAAATACCTAATGTAAATGATGAGTTAATGGGTGCAGCACACCAACATGGCACGTGTATACATATGTAACAAATCTGCACGTTGTGCACATGTACCCTAGAACTTAAAGTATAATTTAAAAAAAATGCTCATTGATAGAATCTGGGGGAATCTCTTTAAAGAATCAGTTGCCCTATCTAACTCAGCCGGGAGGTCGAGGGACTCTCTGGTTCCTAATTGTAAGAAGATGTCTGTTAAGGTGAAACCAGCAAGAGTAAGGCACATCTTTAGGGACTGGTGACAGGTAATTCACTTCAAAACAAAAATCCTGTATTTCTGTTTGTGGTCTTTTGTGCATTTTAGTGTATATCCTCTATCCCCACACCACAGCGAACATACCCCCCTCTGAAGACATGGCTTGTGGTACATTGTTAACTGCCATGTGAAAGTGCTTTCACCTCTTAAAAACAAATTTGTTTTGCATTTCTTGGATTTTGCCCAGCAAATCTACCTTTTAATTAGAAGAAATAAAAGCATGAGACCAAACCTTTGACTTATAAGAGTAAAAAAGTAAAAATAAACAAATGCCGGCTGCAGTAGTACTCACTTGTAGTCTTAGCTACTCCGGAGGCTGAGGCAGGAGAATTGCTTGAATCCAGGAGTTTGAGTCTAGCCTGGACATCATAGTGAGACCCCATCTCTTAAAAAAATGTGAGGAAAACTAGTTAGGGAAAAAAGGGTTATTTTTATTTTCATATCATTCTAAGTCTTTACATACATCTTGTATGCTTTGCTGTTTTGAGGTCTGTACACTTCCACATGTGATCAAATAATTTAATCTGGGCACACTAGTGTTTGCCTTCTGCCATCTATACTACTTCCGATCTTTCACGTCTGTGTGGAACTTCAGCCAGGCTGTGAAGCTACAAGGACAAGCCCTTCTCAATCTGATACCACCTGACTCCTCTCTCTTCCATTCTGTCTTGAAAGAAATGTGTCCCACTCTGCAAAACAGCTTGTCCCCTGATCATTTCTCCCATGGTGGCCAAACCCTCCTTCTCAAGATTTGTGCCTTGGCCAACTAATAAATTACAGTGCTCTCACCCCCTGTCTTTATTTGAATCCACTCCAGTTGATAGCTATCATGAGCCATGCCTGCTACAAGGTAATGCCTGACTCTTAAAAATTCCTCCTCTCTACATCAAGTTTGATGCCTTCTGTGTTCTCAACCATGACCCATTTTACAAATCCATGTGCTCAATGTTCTGTGACTAGACTAACAAGCACCAGTCACACCCTTAAATCTTTTTGTCTCTTAGGTTGTTCTAGCCCAGAAATCTCTACCTTGTCTGCCTTCCCACCTCTTATGTTGTAGTCATCACCAGTCCCTCAAGACAGCCACCAAACCTGTTCTCCTTTCAAGCTCCAGGAAATTACCTAATCCCACTTCCTTACTTCTTTCTGCTTGGTTGCCCAGGCTCCCTAACCTAACCTGTGGTCACAGTTTTTTTAATAGTCTTGACCACAGCCCTAGAATTTCTTGTTCCCTCTGTCCTGAGTTCTGCAAATTCTGTTATCCCCATCCTCAATCCTAGATTATCTTACTTTTCACCTGCCTCGGGCTGCGAAGGCATTAAACAAGTAAAATACAGAGTATGAAAGGTTGTGGTCAAGGGACATTCAGTTGATATTAAGGATATTTGAACAGAGGCTTGAAGTAGGCAAAGGAGTGAGCTATGAGGATATCTGGGGAAGAATATTCCAGAAGAAGGGCCCTCAAGTGCAAAGACTCAGGTAGAGCATAGTAGGCATATTAGAGAAACAGTGGCCAGAGTGGTTGAAGTGAGAATGGGCAAGTGGGGAGAGGCTGGATGAGTGAGGATTCTTAAGAGGAGGGAAGAGGATGAGGTCAGGAAGGTAGCAGGAACCAGATCACTTGGGACCTTATGGAGCCTAGTAAGAAAGAGGTTTGGTTTTTTTACTTGGAGTGAGATCCAGCACAAAGGGTTTTGAGCATAGAAGTGATTTTAAAGAGGCAAGGGTAGAAACAGACCACACAGTGTTAGAGGTGATTGGTTTCTGGATATATTTGGAAGATAAAGCTGATAGGATTGCTCTAATAGATTAGATAATGGGGGTGGGGGTGGGGGGAGCACAGATTGGAGAGAGTGCACTCTCATATGTACTCACCAGCTGGGAGTCTTTGCCAGAGCAAATGACAGAATGGAATTGCAATTTACTAAGCTGAAGAAGGCATGCAGGAGGAGTTGGCTTGGAGGAGAAGAGCAGGAATTTGGTTTTGGACGTTTTAACCTAGTTAGGCAGCAACCATGGTGTATGTTTCTTTGTGGTTCACTGAATGCCCAGGACAATGCTTTGTGCATAGTAGGTGCTTAGTAAATGTTTGATTTTATTTTGATTCAGTGATTTGGCTTTTGTAAATATATATTAATATAATCAGTCATTAGCTGCTTAGTGCTGGCCTGCTTTGTGCCAAAGAGAAAAGCTCATTAGGTTTATAAATAGAAGATAAATTTCAGCTGTGTCTTCAGTGCAATTGATGTGGCTATGCCTTTGCCAGAGTGCTTTCATAATCTGTTCTCTGAATGCTGATCAAATTCTTATAATGAACAGGATGTCTATATAATGTGTACTTAGCTTCTTAATATTATGTGGATAGTTTGACTCCTCTACCATAGGAGTAGCACATGGTCAAGATGTGGAATAGATACCTATGGGACTGCTAATGGTTATTTTATGGTAAGAAAGTAGTTTCCAGAAATAATTTTAGAAGCCATTGTTGGGTATTTCTAGGTGCTAGATTTTTACCTCTTGTACTGACAGAATCTTTTTCTCCCAATGTGGTATTAATACATAATTGCCGCTCTTAGTCATTTTTCCAGTTTTTATCTTTATGACTGACGTTTTGTTCTTTTACAAATTAAATCCGTATTTTTCCTTGTTCCTTATTTGTCTTTTATACTGAAGTAACCTGTGACATTTGAAAGTTAAATTGTTTGATCTTACAGTTTACATCTTTAGATCATTTGACAAAATCTTGAAAAGCTTTTAATGAGCCATGCCACTGTCTCAGGTTATGATCACATAATGCTCTCATCATATATGAAACTGACTTTTCATCAAATGGTTTGGGTATTAATGCATCCAGAATTTTGAAAAATTGAACATTCCATGATCAGGGCGTTAAGACAACTTAGGACAGTGATGCCTGCAGTTCTATTTTAGTGCGTAGGACCTGTTTGGGAAGGAATAATTAAGGACATGCCATCCTGATACTGTGTTGCTCAGATGTGCCTGTATTATCTTATTATTCCTACCAGTGTCTCAGTTGCTCATACAAATTAATGAACAACTCATCTGTAAAGGATGTGGAAATTATCATACTTTCAAAAGCTTTTGGGAAACATCTATAAGGGCCTGTGTTTAGGTTGTATTTCCTATGATGATACCCTTAGAAATCTGATTAAATATACTGCTGAGGAGGATTTTGATAGCTTTGAAAAGAATGAAGGCTAAATTTTATGTGGAAGATGGCTATATATACAATCTGAAGAAAAAAGTCAACTATTTTATCATTGTACAAATGTGAAATAATGTTTTGAATATTTTTTTTATATTATAGCATTGACTTTGGATTTAAGTTTCCTTTTCTTATAGCAAAGAATAAAAAAATTAGGAACCTCTCTGGACCTTCTCTTAAGGTTGACTGATTCCCTTTATATATTTAAGAAATTTTTTACCAAGGCCAGTAGGGCTCACTGATTTTTTCTCCTCCTTGAGCAAATCTCAAAAAGAAATGGTATGATTAAAGGAGGTATATACTTTCCCATGTAAAAATCTTAGCTGTGTGTGTTTTTTGTTTTTTTTTGAGACAGAGTCTTGCTCTGTCACCCGGGCTGGAGTGCAGTGGCATGATCTGGGCTCACTGCAAGCTCCACCTCCTGGGTTCACGCCTTTCTCCTGCCTCAGCCTCCGAGTAGCTGGGACTACAGGCGTCTGCCACCATACCCGGCTAATTTTTTATATTTTTCGTAGAGATGGCGTTTCACCATGTTAGCCAGGATGGTCTTGATCTCCTGACCTCGTGATCCACCCTCCCCGGCCTCCCAAAGTGCTGGGATTACAGGCGTGAGCCACCGTGTGCCCGGCCTATTAGCTGTGTTTTTTAAGAGATTACTTATTTTTAAAAATTAATTTTCTTTGATGAAATCTCCAGTTTATAGGTTTGTTCTTTTTTATATTTGGGGAAAAGTAAGTTTTAAGGAAGTTAATATAATAGGTCTCATACTGTGAAGAATCTAGATTTAATAAGTATGTTATGATCAAACGTAGTTGGCCACCTTCTTTCTCTAGTATTCGCTTTTTGTTGTTCATGAAACGTATTTATATTGACTGCCTAGCATGTGCCGGGCACCGTGCTAGCTCCTGGGAATACAATAATGAAAAATACAACCAAGGGACCTTCCCTTATGGAGCTTTGATTCTGGTAAGGCAGAAAGACATTCAGCAAGTAAGATTATATAGATAAGAGTGCGGTGGTTTGAATGTGTTCCCCAGAGTTCACGTGTTGGAAACTTAATCCTGAATGCAATGTGTTCTGAGGTGTGACCTTTAAGAAGTGGTTCAAACAGGAGGGCTCTTCCTTCATGAATGGATTAATGCCATTATCACAGGAATGGTTCCCTTATATAAAAGGATGAGCTCACCCCCTCTTTGCCCTTTTGCCTTCCACCATGGGATGACGTAGCAAGAGGGCCCTCACTAGATGCCAGTCCCTTGAGATTGAACTTCCTAGCCTTCAATTCTGTTACAGCAGCACAGAATGTACTAAGTCAGAGAGGATGCTCAGAGAAGGCTTATTTGAAGAGACGACATGGGAGTGGAGGCCTGAATATTGACTGGAAGCCCATCATGTGAAACATAGGGTGGAGGTGTTCTAGGTGGAGACAATAGCATGTTCAAAGTCTGTGAGGTAGGAACTACAAGTAGTCCAAAGTAATTGAAGTATAGTGTGCAGTTGTAGAACTCCACCATACAAAGGCAGGAATGGTCTTGTACAATATGAAATAATGAAGTGTGGGTTTTATTTTAAGAACAGTGGGAAGTTACTGCAATAATTCAAAGATGAGAATTACACAGTTTTAAAAGTTCTCTTGCTGCCTTGTGCAGTTTGGGTTTGGATGGGATAGGGTGTGTACGGGAGCAGTATTGAGGAAGCTTTGGCAGTAATTCTGATGAAATGTAATGCCACCTGAACCATGGTGGTTACAATGGAAAGGAGAGTCATGCGTGGCATAACGACATTTTGGTCAATGACAAATTATCTGTACAATGGTGGTCCCAAATGATTATAACACAGATGAAAAAACCTATATAGCCTACTGGTGTAATAGCTGTCCTAACATCCTAGTGCAACACATTACTCACATTTGTGATGATGCTGGTCTAAACAAACCTACTGCACTGCCATCCGTATAAAAGCATAGCATATATAATTATGTACCTTACATAACACTTGATAATGATAGTATTTGGCTCTGTTAATGGTTTATGTATTTGCTATGGTGTACCTTTTATCATTATTTTAGAATGTGCTCCTTCTACTTATGTATTTTAAAAAGTTAACTATAAAGCAAGTCCTTCAGGAGGAATTCCGGAAGGCATCATTATCACAGGAGATGACAGCTTCATGCATGTTATTGCCCCGAAGACCTTCTGGTGGGACAAGATGTGGAAGGTGGAAAACAGTAATATTGATGATCCTGACCCTGTGCAGGCCTAGGCTAATGTGTATGTTTGTGTCTTTTTTTTTTTTTTTATTGAGATGGAGTCTCGCTCTGTCGCCAGACTGGAGTACAGTGGCACGATCTCGGCTCACTGCAAACGTTGCCTCCTGGGTTCAAGTGATTCTCCTGCCTCAGACTCCTGAGTAGCTGGGATTACAGGCATGCACCACCACACCCAGCTAATTTTTGTATTTTTAGTAGAGACAGGGTTTCACCATGTTGGCCAGGCTGGTCTCAATCTCTTGACCTCATGATCAGCCCACCTCAGGCTCCCAAAGTGCTGAGATTACAGGTGTGAGCCACCATGCCTGGCTTGTGTCTTTGTTTAAAAAAAAAAAATTTTTTAAGTAAAAAAAAAATTAAAATTTAAAAAATAGAAAAAAGCCTATAGAATAAGGATATAAAGAAAATGTTTTTATACAGCTGTATAATGCGTTTGTGTTTTAAGCTAAGTGTTATTACAAAGGAGTCAAAACATTTTAAAAATTAGAAAATTTATAAGGTAAAATGTTACAGTAAGATAAAGTTAATTTATTATTGAAGAAAGAAAAACTTTTAAATAAATTCAGTGTACCCTAAGTGTGCAGTGTTGACAGTCTGCAGTAGTGTACAGTAATGTCCTAGGCCTTCATACTCACCCACCACTTTACTCACTGACTCACCCAGAGCAACTTCCAGTCCTGCGAGCTCCATTCATGGTAAGTGCCCTTTATAGGTGTCCAATTTTTATTATTTATACCATATTTTTACAGTACCTTTTCTGCATTTAGATACACAAAGCTTACCATTATGTTACAGTTGCTTACAATAATCAGTACAGTAGAATGCTGTACAAGTTTTTAATCTAGAAGCAATAGGCTATACCATACAGCCTAGGTATGTAATAGGTTACACCATCTAGGTTTGTCCAGATACATTTTCTGTGATGTTCACACCATGACAAAATCACCTAATGATGCATTTCTTAGAAGGTATCTCGTCGTGAAGTGACACATGACTGTAGATGGATTTATGATATACTTAAGAGGTAGAATTGGCAGAACTTGGATCTTTGTTGAAACTGGTTCTTTTCAGTGCAGCCCTTTTTCATCTTTGCCATCTTGATAGCTAAAGAATGGCATCTTGCTGTTGTTTTAATATGTCTTTCATTTTTTTGTAACTAGTGAGATTGAACTTTTTTCCTCCACATTTGTTGATGGGATTTTTTGTTTGCTTTTTTTTTTTGGCATATGTATGTGATTGACCTATTTGTAATTTTTATTTTTATTTTACTTTTTCAGACAGAGTCTCACTCTGTCACCCAGAATAGAGTGCAGTGGCACAAACATGGCTCACTGCAGCCTCAACTTCCCAGGCTCAAGGGATCCTCCTGCCTCAGCCTACCAAGTAGCTGGGACCATAAGCATGTGCCATCACACTGGGCCAATTTTTAAATTTTTTGTAGAGACAGGGTCTTGCCATGTTGCCCAGGCTGGTCTTGAACTCGTAGGCTCAAACAATACTCCTGCTTTGGCCACCCAAAGTGTTGAGATTACAGATGTGAGCCACTGCACCTGACCTGTAATCTTTGTGTAAAGTCTTTTTCTTATCAGATTTTTAAGAAAATATCTGCTCTTCATATTTACAGTGTATGATGGATTTTTTAAATATTCTGTCCCCTGTTGTCATTTATCTTTTAGGCTTGTTTATGGAGTATTTTGTCTACAGGTTTTTAATCATAATTTATTGAAAGCTATGGTTCATATGTTTGATGTTATATATACGTTAATGTTGGAGACTTCATAAATGCTTGTGAACTTGTGAACACTTTTATGTATAACTTATTTTGAACCTTGGTTCTTTAAGTGTAACATTCCACAGTAATATATAATCAAGGCTTTCTAAGAGTAAAGTATTTATTTGACCTAATGCAAAATAGCCTTGGCCGTGTTTGTTCAAATCTTTTATCTATTTTACAAATTGTTTTATAATGCCTTTGGTTAACTAATTTGAAAACTTACATAATTTATATAATTTCTTTACAGTTCAGTGGTCATTGATTAATTGCAAGGCTCTAGTTTTGTTATGTTGAATTATAGTTATGGAAGTGAGAGAAGAAAGCTCATTAAAATTTAGTATTGGCTGGGTGCAGTGGCTCACGCCTGTAATCCCAACACTTTGGGAGGCCAAGGAGGGCAGATCACCTGAGGTCAGGAGTTCAAGACCAGCCTGGCCAGCATGGTGAAACCCTGTCTCTACAAAAATACAAAAATTAGCTGGGCATGATGGCAGGTGCCAGTAATCCCAGCTACTCGGGAGGCTGAGTCAGGAGAATTGATTGAACCCGAGAGGCAGGGGTTGCAGTAAGCCAAGATCGCACCATTGCACTCCAGCCTGGGTGACAGATCGAGACTCCGGCTCAAAAAGTAAAAAATAAAAAATAAAAAAATTAGTATAAAGCAAGAATAAATATTTGTAGTGATGGTTTTGAGATTAGTCCTTCTAGAAAACAACATGCTGTTTAATTTTTAAGCTTTTGTATTTCTTTGAAGTGTCCTAGATATGGTCTTGTATGACTGCAAGATAGCTTAGATATGCAGTATGTTTGCATGAAAAACTATGGAAACAACTAATTGTAGAGTCACTAAATGCACATTAAAATCACATGGATATAGAGGAGAGCACATCAGTTGATGGCTCAGAAAACAGGGGTTCTAGTTCTTGCAATTCCATTACATAGTTTTGTCACTTGGTCCCAGGACATCTATTGGAAGCTATCTCTAAGATGCTGTATAACTTGAGAAGGGCACTGGGATGAGTGTGTAATTTCACAGACTTTGCGTTGCCCCCTGGTGGTATTTTACCTTAGTCCAAAACTAGAGCTGTGGTCACTTTACAACCTGATCCTGTGATCCAGTGGTGACCTACTTCATGGATAAGGATTATCCTCTAGGGAGCCAAACTTTGGTGCTTTTAACCAGCAGTTAGTTAATAGAGAAGCTCAGTGAAAGTGGGACCTGGAAGTTTGGGAAATTAGCACATCTTAGTTAGAAGCAAGAAGTCACAGTCAGCGGTGAGTGGAAAGGATGTAATGAATTGATTGATGGATATTTGTTTTCAAAGAATTAACGTAATTGCTGTCAGGAAAAGAAAACCTTAATGCATTAAGGGTAGGGACTGGTGTGGAGATCTAGGTAGAGATCTACATGTGCTTTTCTTAAAATCTTTTGATTCTTTTTTTACCTCCAGGAGACCAGCAGAAGGAGACAGGGAGAACCATATATGGGAGCAAAGAACATGGTGGGCACGCAAGTGGTGCTGTCATGGCGAGGAATGCTCAAAGGATATACATTTAAGCGCCATGAATTTAGAATTTATCCCTTTGCATGTTCTCTAGTCTGAAAATAGTTTGATCTTTTGTAGCTATCTAAATAAGTATTAGAAATTTATTTTGGGAGGTAGACTTGAACTTGATTTCTCCTATCTGGGCCTGTGAGTTGTTGCTAATTTTGAAACTTGATGTTAGTCCCTAGGGTTGTGTTCCTTAAATTAGGCTTTTTACCTCAGTCACTCCAATTTATTTTTATAAGCATACTTTGGTAGACTTTTTCTCAGTGAAATGGAAAACCATTGGTTACCCAGCTAATGAGAATTTATAATCCTCAGTGGACTGCAAAACTTAACTTCATTCTGACTGGCATGAGATGGTATCTCATTATGGTTTTGGTTTGCATTTCTCCAATGATCAGTGATGTTGAGCTTTTTTTCATATGTTTATTGGCTGCATAGATATCTTCTTTTGAGAAGTGTCTGTTCATATCCTTTGCCCACTTTTTTAAAAATTATACTTCAAGATCTGGGTTACATGTGCAGAACGTGCAGTTTTGTTACATAGGTATGTATACACATGTCATGGTGGTTTGCTGCACCCATCAACCCATCACCTACATTAGATATTTCTCCTAATGTTATCCCTCCCCTAGCCCCCCACCCTCCAACAGGCTCCGGTGTGTGATGTTCCCCTCCCTGTGTCCATGTGTTCTCATTGTTCAACTCTCACTTATGAGTGAGAACACATGGTGTTTAGTTTTCTGATCTTCTGATAGTTTGCTGAGAATGATCGTTTCCAGCTTTATCCATGTCCCTGCAAAGGACATGAACTCATCCTTTTTTATGGCTGCATAGTTTGCCATGGTGTATATGTGCCACATTTTCTTAATGTAGTCTATCATTGTTGGACATTTGGGTTGGTTCCAAGTCTTTGCTATTGTGAATAGTGCCACAATAAACATACGTGTGCATGTGTCTTTATCGTAGAATGATTTATAATCCTTTGGGTATATGCCCAGTAATGGGATTGCTGGGTCAAATGGCATTTCTAGTTCTAGATCCTTGAGGAATCACCACACTGTGTTCCACAATGGTTGAACTAATTTACACTTCCACCAACAGTGTAAAAGCGTTTATATTTTTCCACAACCTCTCCAGCATCTATTGTTTTCTGACTTTTTAATGATCGCCACTCTAACTGCTTTGCCCACTTTTTGATGGGATTTTTTTTTCTTATAAATTTGTTTAAGTTCCTTGTAGATTCTGGATATTAGACCTTTGTCAGATGGGTAGATTGCAAAAATTTTCTCCCATTCTGTAGGTTGCCTGTTCACTCTGATGATAGTTTCTTTTGCTGTGGAGAAACTCTTTAGTTTAATCAGATCCCATTCATCAATTTTGGCTTTTATTGCAGTTGCTTTTCACCATTTGACCCAACATATTACTTACACCTTTTGACCCAACATATTACTTACACCATTTGACCCAGCATATTTTACCATTTGACCCAGTATATTACTGGGTATATACCCAAAGGAATATAAATCATTCTAGTATAAAGACACATGCACACATGTTTATTGCAGTACCATTTACAATAGCAAAGACATGGAACCAACCCAAATGCCCATCAATGATAGACTGGATAAAGAAAATGTAGTACATATATACCATGGAATACTATGCAGCCATAATAAGGAATTAGATCATGTCTTTGCAGGGACGTGGATGAAGCTGGAAGTAATCGTCCTCAGCAAACTAACACAGGAACAGAAAACCAAATACCTCATCTTCTCACTCATAAGTGGGAGTCGAACAAGGAGAACACATGGACACAGGGAGGGGAACAACACACAGCGGGGCCTGTCGGGGGTATGGGGGCAAGAGGAGAGAGAGCATTAGGACAAATAACAAATGCATGTGGTACTTAAAACCTAGATGATGGGTTAATAGGTACCGCAGACCACCATGGCACATGTATACTTACGTAACAAACCTGCATGCTCTGCACGTGTATCTTGTAACTTAAAGTAAAATAAAATTTTAAAAAAAACTTCAGTATAGTTAGTTTTTAGAATATGTTATATTAATCAAGAAATTGTGTTCTTTTCTTTCAGCCTATCAATTTGTTACCAACACTAGAAAGTCTCCAACTTAAAAACCAAAAACATACTTTAAATTAGTTGCTTTTTTTTTTTTTTTTTTTTTTTGGTGAGATGGAGTCTCACTCCGTCGCCCAGGCTGGAGTGCAGTAGCACGACCTCGGCTCACTGCAATCTCCACCTCCCGGGTTCAAGAGATTCTCAACGTCCTGAGTAGCTGGGACTACATGCTCCACCATGCCTGGCTAATTTTTGTATTTTTAGTAGAAATGGGGTTTCGCCATGTTGGCCAGGCTGGTCTTGAGCTCCTGACCTCAGGTGATCTGCCTGCCTTGGCCTCCTAAAGTGCTGGGATTACAGGTGTGAGCCACCATGCTCAGCCTAGTTGCTTTTGATTATCTTTGTTAGGCGTGGTGACTGGGTGCCCCAGTCAGCCTTCCAAAGTCCTCAGGTTATTTATAGTGGCCATGCTTCTGAGTAAAAATCGTCAGCACATATCTGATCAAGAATTTGTAACTACTACTGGGTAGCAGAAACATGCTAAGAGAGAAGTCATTTAGAAACTGAAATATTGCATCCTCTAGGACATTTTGATGGTGTATGAGAGAAGGGAAAAATATGTTTGAAATCTGAATTGCCTTAGAAAAGCTGGAGGGAACGATTATTTTACATAACATGTATGTAAAGTTTATGGTGTTATTGTTCTCATCACTTCTTTAGTGTTAAGGAGGCACTATTGCCCATTACAAGGTTGTGATTGGAAGTACAATCAAAACTCTACTTTTGGATATCAGGAACATTGTCCTTGTGCTTTAGGTCCTCAGTAGCTCTTCTGGTTAGGGACAAAAGTCCTAATAAGGAAGGTCAAGGATGGAGACTAGCCCTTCTGGTTGGGGTGAGATGGAGGGAAGTACAACCAGAAAGTGAAAAGCAGGATGGGGCTGGAGCATTCTTCAAGATCTTCTTATCCTTTTTAAAAAAATTAATTAGTGTGGAATGGTAATAACAGAAAGTGTACTTTCAGCCATTGTTTTTGGACATTTGATGAACTTTCAGTCTGCCAACTCATGTCTCCTTTAGTTCTGATAATTTTTTTAAATTTTCTCTTTTTAGATTTAAAATATTTCTAAATCTTTGTTTGTTTTTTTCTTGGATTTTCTTGAACTCCTGCTATTCAGATCTTGGGCTTCTAGATTGCTTTTTTATTATTCTCTTCTCTCAATTTTCCATCTTTCATTTTGTTTCACATCTGAAATTTTTTTTCAACTTTTTCTATTGTTCCTATTGAATTGTTCATATTGACTAGGAATTTACAGGAGCTCTCTTTTTAAAATTCTCTCTCCTTTTTGTGGTACCATCTTGTTCTTTTTTGATACCTTATGTCTTTGAAAATGTTAGTAATAGTTTTTCATAGTCTGTTTTCCAAGTTCTTTTAGTTTGTTTGTTTTTTATCTTCATCTCTGGCTTTTATATTTATTAGAGAGTTTCTTCAGATACCTGGTGATTTTTTTTCATATTTTAAAGTAGGCACAAATAAAACTGTTTGGAAACTCTTTGCATGAGGTGAGCTTGTTTATATGGTTTCAGTGTAAGATGATCAGTATCCTTAAGTCTTTTTTCTTAAAATCTTGGGTATTTCTAGAAAAAAATTCATCTGATCATTAACCTGCAAGTTATTCTGGGTGCCTAAGAAGGTAAAAGGCAAGGGCAGATCCTACTTAATCTTTTTGCAACTTTCACTTTGTCCCTTGTTTTTAGTCAGATACCACTGCTTTCAACTGTGTTTAATGTCCACTACTCTAGAAACTCTCCATGTCTCTTTTCCAGAGGATAAACTTCAGTATTCTATGGTGTGGGGAAGAGGCAGTTGCTCAGCTGTACAAAGTGAGAATCTAGAGAAACTTATTAAGTGGTCTTTTAACTCCACTTTCACACCATTTCCAAGGTACTTGATGCCACCAATTCCTCATACTTTTAAGGCTAGAGGAAATATTTAGTGTTATGTAAATCAGAATGCTTCTTTCCCCTTTGCTGGCTTAGGGCTCCTTGTTTTGGGCCTGCCAGATCCGTCACCACTGATTCATGTGCTTCCCAACTTCCGAAATCGTGTCCCTGTTTTCTCCTCTTCTGTTCTCTTCTCTTCTGTTCTCTTCGACTGTTTTGATTTCTTGTCCCTTTTTTTAAAAAAGAAAATCTTTTTACTACCATTTCAGAGGAGTTTTTGGAGACAGTGAGATAGAATGTATATGTCCAGTGAAATACCTTTTTGGAAATCTGATTCATCTTTCAATTAACTGGATTCAGTTTTTTATTTCCCTTTTCACCCCCCAAAAAAGATGTGGGTGCTAGATTGTTGAGATCCTTGGGGCTTGACAAAATTTGTCAGTTGTCTTTATATTTATATACTTTATTTTTTTGCTGATTTCACTTCCTCTTTTGATCTGCTTTTAACATGTTGCTCTCTCTTCTTTCCTCCTGAAGTATCAGTGGGTCACAGGCCAGAGGAGAGAACCTAGGGTTTCTCCGTACCTTCTTTAAACACATCTATCTTTAAGAAAAAAATCATGTCTTGTTTTTACATTGTGGTTTCAATTCTTTATTTCATAGCCTCTTCAAACCTGTTTTATATGATCAAATTCATGGTTTGGTAAACTTCCTGTTTGTCACACCTGGCAAATCTCCCTCATGGTGGATCATTTCCTTGTGTGATTCATAATTTTCAATTATTTGCTCATCCTCAGCAAAGATTACTTTTTCCATGGGAGTCCTATGAACCATTGCTTTTTGAAGCGCCTTTAAGGAGCTATTTATATTTATTTTTCTTTTATATTTACCTTAATTTCTTGGCTTGGAAATTTCACACTACGCAGATAGTATAAATCTGGACTCTGTATCATTGTGTGTCAGTTTCATGGATCCAGTTTTTCTGGTCTTAGAGAGATTCTTGCTTTATTCAAGGTCTAAGTTTCAGTCCTCTGCCCTGGCTGGGATCTTAAGTCCCCAACCCCTAGCAGCTAGAGTCCAAGTCTGATATCCCTGTGGGATATAAGTGTTAACTTGTATCTTTTCTACTCTGAATTTGAGATTTTTCTTCTTTTGACACATGAGAAATTCTTTTTCTTTATTTTGAAACTGATTATGGTATTAAAATGTCAGCAGTTATATTTTATGTAGATTTTTATGTGCTTGATATATAAAGGAGATACGCATCACTGGGTCCATGTTCTGGAACCATAAGTCATCTCCTTTGCATTCTCATTTAATTAGGTATTCAGGAAACATCTATTAAGTGTGTACTATGCATTAGGCTCTAGAGATTCCAAAGCAAATGAAAGGACAAAGGAAGGTATAAGGTAGGAAGAATATTCCAGGCAGAAGGAACAACTTGCAAGGTATGAAATGACTGGTTTGTGTGGGAATCTACTGGAACACTTGAGTATGGATATGATACAGGCCCAGAGCTTGTAGGGCAAGGCTGAAAAATACAGGTAAATAAATAGGCCGTGTCATGGAAGGCCTTGGAGCTAAGTCAAGGCATCTGAACATCATCTTGAGAGCTGTGGGGAGCTTAAGCCTCAAGTGAAGAGATCAGATTATGAACTAGATCTCATGGTAGTGTGGCAGAGGGTTGCAGTTGAGCCAGGCTGGAGGCAGAAACTAAAGCAGAAGCAAATGGGAATAGGGAAAAGGGAACAGTTTGAGAGAGCCTTCAAGATAGGATCTCCAGGAATTCATGATTAGATATAATGAATGAGAGAGCAAGTGAAGTTGCAAGGGGCAATCCCGTGGGCCAGATTCAGCTTGCATGTTTTTTGTTTATTTTTGCCCCTTAAAAAATTGAACTTTAACTGCACTAGGTATGGCTTGCCCTATCCTGTTTGCCACAGTCCTGACGACTGCATATTCTCTGTGATCCAGGTTGATTTAATGTGCCTGGGTTCTGACGGGTATGTGAACTTGAGAGCCTGATGGAATGACTTCCTCGGGCAGCCTTTTTAGTTTATGCTTGCTTAATCCTGGGGGTATGAGGAGAGACAGGGATGAGGAGGGATCAAGGAGTGGTGGGGCAGGGTGACCTCGTTCGTCTGTTCTGACACTGGCTCTGCCACCTCCCCAACCTGCAGTTGCCACTCCTACCCCCATCGCCAGCTCTTGACTGATCACTGTTGGATTTTCTGTAGGAAAGGGAGGAAAAGAAGGATCAGAACTTTTTCTCCCATAGATGCTTTCAAAATCCCCTGCTGCTATGCCCCTACTAAATTCCATGTCAGTTTTCTGATCTTTCTTACTCCCCAGAAGAATGCAGGATTACTTTTACTTTATAGGTGAGTAGATAGAGGTAGTTTTAGTAAGCTGGGCACTGTGGGTATGCTTTAGAATATGGCATCAAAGATTCTTAAAAAGCAGAGGATAGTAAAGCACGGCCTCACCCTTTTCCTAAGCCATCTGGCTTTTTACAGTTTTAACTTACTTTTATGATGGATTCCAGGGCACATGCAATATTTTTATTCTAGCTAAATGAGGAGCAAATTAGAAGAATTTTAGCTCTCATTTTGAAAAAGATAGGAAGAAGGGAAAGGAAGTGAGTGTTGTGTGATAGAAATAGCCTGTGTTAGACTTTCCCAGGCTTCTCAGGGCAGATGAGATCAGTACTGTGTGCATCAGCTCATGTGAGAGCTAATGGAATTTGGAAACATTGATTAGGTCCTCCATTCTTGAGTACTGCTGGAGTGAATCCGTGTCCAAGTTCTACAGATTAACTAGGCAAATATTAAAATAGTCCTGCTGGTTCGGACTCAGAGGGGCAGTTAGTCAGTTGAGTGGGAGTAGATCATCTCCCGAGTTTTTGGTAATTAGTACTAAGAATGAAATCCCATGGGAAAAACAATAGTGATTAGTTATCAGTAGAGCTATTATATTAGTTTTTATTGTAATGACAACCTGCAGAGTTTTTTTTTAAAGGCTTTGCTGTTTTGCAGCAGCCTGGATGGATGGATATTGAAGGAAATCTAGATAATAGAACAATTGTAAAGCTAATAGCTTATTGTTTTCCCTCTGGAATGATGGGAAATATCTGAGACTGGAGTTGCTTTATGCACTTGGATTCAGATTTCAGCTTCATCTTTTTTGGTGGTTTGGCTTGTACGCCTGGACCATTATGTCTTGGGAATATGAAGAATTTGGGAACATAATTATACACAGAAAGCCAAGATTCCTATTATTTAGAGAAATCTGCAAGCTCATTTTATATTTTTTAAGAAAGCTAATGAAGGAAACACGTATTTTTAAATTTACAAAGCAGACTACATGTTCAAAAACATAGAGTATGTTTGGGGGAAAAAATCCTTTCCCCTTCTAAATGCAAGTAATATATGTTTATCAGAGAAATTAGAAAATACTGAAAAAAAAGTAAAGCAGAAATTTATTTCATAATTCTATTACCCAGAGGTAAGGGTTAAGAAGTTAACCCTTTTTTCCCTGTGGATATTTGTAATATGTGTTTACAAAAGTAATACATTTTGTTTGTAACCTGTTTATGTGACAAAGCTATAAATATGTATTACTATAGATATGGAAATACAGTACAGTCTGTGGCAGAGGCTTGGTATTCTGTTGTACAATATATTTAATCAATTTCTACTCTAGAGCTTTTAGATTCTTTTTCTAGTTTTTTTTTTTTTGCCATAATGAATGATTGTTTAGATTTCTTGATCACTAAATATTTACATATATTCTGTCACAAAATGACTCAATTGGAGGCTTGGGGAAGGGGAGGCAGAATTAGCTGATGTTGCTGGTGCCAGGACTCTCCATGAAATGTATAAAACAGTATTATATTTCATATCCTCAGTGAACAACTATAAACATGTCCATGGTATACAGTGGACATGGCTGATTTATTGTCATTGTGTCATATCTGTTTTGTCTCCCCAAATTCTCTCTTTTCTTCTACAACACTGAGGCTACTACGATGGAATGGGTCATTTTGGGAGAGGTGGGGAAAAGGGGGGAAACTATCAATTGCATAAGTTATAGGGCAGCTACTGAGAGAAATATATTTCAGATGTTGTGAAATCTAAGTATTAAACATTATTGAATAAACACAGTGTGGAGGAGACCAAAAGATGTCATTAAGTAAGGCTCTTCTAACAGCCTAAAGTCTACCAGCCAAAGTGGACAAAAAGGCAAAATACATACACTCCAGCAAGCCCTTCTTCTTGTATCTTAGCAAAGTAGGTCAGCACACACTTACTTAGTTCAAGGGGCCATTTCATAGGGGATGATTTTATTTGCTAACCAGAGTTGGACTGTGGAATTCTGAGCACAGCATGTAATAGCAATTTAAAATAAGGGACAATTTAAAGGTTAAGGCATCAAAAGTAATCTTCTAAAATTTTCTCAACAGTAGACTGAAATAAATGTGTAGGTCCTTCAGCTGAAACTATGTGGCTGTTACTTTAACCATTTTTGTTCTTCAAATCTATACCATTTTATGAACTCTTCTATTTAACTCTTCAAATGCTAAATAACAAATCTATACCTTATTAGATTTGTTTGGAGTAAAGCTATCCAAATTGAATTAGAGAATAATTGAACACCTATCTCATGAGTATTTCAGTGGGCTACATTGCCTTAAAAGATCTGTTAGGTTATTATTTACTTTTTTTGAGACAAAGTCTTGCTCTGTTGCTCAGGCTGGAGGCTGGAGTGCAGTGACAGGATCTCGGCTTACTGCAGCCTCTGCCTCCCAGGTTCTAGCAATTCTCATGCCTCAGCTTCCTGAGTATCTGGGATTGCAGGCATGAGCTACCACGCCCAGTTAAGTTTTGTATTTTTAGTAGACACAGGTTTTGCCCAGGCTGGTCTCAAACTCCTGGCCTTAAGTTATCCACCTGCCTCAGCCTCCCAAAATGTGTGAGCCACTGTACCTGTTCTGGTTATTATTTTATGGAAAGTTCCACAAGATGTAAAAACTTTTATCTGAACTTGAAGCTTTTACAAAGAGGCACTTGGTCTGTTTCATAATAAAATAATATCAATTCTTGATTTGTATTGCCCTTTAACAAGGTACCCCACAGGTAGTTTTGTGTTATAAAGTTTGAGCTAAATGCTACATGTCCGCAAGATTTTGATCTTCCTTTAAGTCAACTGTAAGCTTTCAGAGTAAAGTCATGTATATACTCCATGTTACTTTTGCTTTTGTTTTTATTATTAAATGTATTTATTTTTTGTTACATTTAAAAAAAATAGAGATGTTGTCTCACTGTGTTGCCTAGACTGGTCATGAACTCCTGGCCTCAAGAGATTCTCCCACCTTGGCCTCCCAAAGTTTTGCGATTACAGGCATGAACCACCATGTCCAGGTGCTTTTGTTTTTAGAGGTTTGATACGTGAAGCCAAAAGTTTGGTTCACTATAAGTCTAAGAGACTACGCATGTAGGACTTTCATCATTCTTTTGTCATTATCAGCATTTAGAAACATCTAGAATCCTGTAGTTTCTCAGTACTTTCTTCACTGATACGCCAGCTTGTTTGTTCAATCTTGAGTCCTTCATGCCTTAAAAAATCATAAAAATTAAATTATTAATTTCATGGCATTCATTTTAAAAGTCCATCGAATCGTCAAGGAAAGAATAAATTATATTCAGTATAATAATTTCTTACATTTTATGTATTATGTTTTCCAAAGCACTGTCAGGTACATGCAAATTCCCTTAACTAATAGAATAAGTGGATGGAATAAATTATTCCATACTAGGAAACTGAGACACTGGGGTTGGAGTACAGGTTAGTGCTAGAACAAGTGTTAGAATTCAGATTTTCTGAGCAATTGCCCCAGGTCTCGTTGCATTGCAGTATTTTGTGGTATTCTGATTCTTGAAAACTTATGTTCAGTGTGAAATTTGCATGGTAAATTGTTAACCCTGTCTTGTTTCTAGCGAGTGCCAGATGACAAGGTAGTATAATAGATTATTTGTGAATAAGGATAAAAAAAATTTATAAATGATTTATTTACTAATTTTGGTTAGTAATTTTTTTTTTCATTACCAGAATAATTGCTTTTACTTTTCTGTTTAAAGACCTGCTTGGCTTTGATAATTAACTGTACATCGTTTTTACCATGTCATGGCATATTGTCTGATGGTTTTTATAATATTAAAGGCTAAAATTGGAGCCAAATTGAATTTAGCACATTTCTTTTTTACTAAATTGAGGCTAAATATAAAATCCCGGTAAGCTTAGAATCTATAATGAACACGTGCTGTTTTTCTCTGCTTTTTTTTTTTTATTATACTTTAAGTTTTAGGGTACAGGTATACAATGTGCAGGTTTGTTACATATGTATACATGTGCCATGTTGGTGTGCTGCATGCTGCACCCATTAACTCGTCATTTAGCATTAGGTATATCTCCTAATGCTATCCCTCCCCACTCCCCCCACCCCACAATAGGCCCCGGTGTGTGGTGTTCCCCTTCCTGTGTCCATGTGATCTCATTGTTCAATTCCCACCTATGAGTGAGAACATGTGGTGTTTGGTTTTTTGTCCTTGTGACAGTTTGCTGAGAATGATGGTTCCAGCTTCATCCATGTCCCTACAAAGGACATGAACTCATCATTTTTTATTTTTTTATTTTTTATTTTTTTATTTTTTTAAGAGTTCCAGGCATTAGATTTATTGTTTTAAAATCTATATTCATTATATATGTGGGTGTATGGTTTTGATTTTTTATAATTTTTAAAACAGCTTTATTGAGATGTAATTAACATACAATAAATTTTTTTTTAATTTTTTTAGTATTTATTGATCATTCTTGGGTGTTTCTCGGAGAGGGGGATTTGGCAGGGTCATAGGACAATAGTGGAGGGAAGGTCAGCAGATAAACATGTGAACAAAGGTCTCTGGTTTTCCTAGGCAGAGGGCCCTGCCGCCTTCCGCCTTCCGCAGTGTTTGTGTCCCTGGGTACTTGAGATTAGGGAGTGGTGATGACTCTTAAGGAGTATGCTGCCTTCAAGCATCTGTTTAACAAAGCACATCTTGCACCGCCCTTAATCCATTTAACCCTTAGTGGACACAGCACATGTTTCAGAGAGCACAGGGTTGGGGGTAAGGTTTATAGATTAACAGCATCCCAAGGCAGAAGAATTTTTCTTAGTAGAGAACAAAATGGAGTCTCCTATGTCTACTTCTTTCTACACAGACAGAGTAACAATCTGATCTCTTTCTTTTCCCCACATTTCCCCCTTTTCTATTCGACAAAACTGCATCGTCATCATGGCCCGTTCTCAATGAGCTGTTGGGTACACCTCCCAGACGGGGTGGCTGCCGGGCGGAGGGGCTCCTCACTTCCCAGACGGGGCAGCTGCCGAGCGGAGGGGCTCCTCACTTCTCAGACGGGGCGGCCGGTCAGAGATGCTCCTTACCTCCCAGACAGGGTGGCGGCGGGGCAAAGACACTCCTCAGTTCCCAGACGGGGTCGCGGCTGGGCAGAGGCGCTCTTCACATCTCAGACAGGGCGGCGGGGCAGAGGCGCTCCCCACATCCTAGACGGGATGACGGCTGGGAAGAGGCGCTACTCACTTCCCAGACTGGGCAGCCGGGCAGAGGGGCTCCTCACATCCCAGACGATGGGCGGCCAGGCAGAGGCGCTCCTCACTTCCTAGACGGGGTGGCAGCCGTGCAGAGGCTGCAATCTCTGCACTTTGGGAGGCCAAGGCAGGCGGCTGGGAGGTGGAGGTTGTAGCGAGCCGAGATCACGCCACTGCACTCCAGCCTGGGCAACATTGAGCACTGAGTGAGCGAGACTCCGTCTGCAATCCCGGCACCTTGGGAGGCCAAGGCTGGCAGATCACTCGCAGTCAGGAGCTGGAGACCAGCCCGGCCAACACGGCGAAACCCTGTCTCCACCAAAAACACGAAAACCAGTCAGGCGTGGTGGCGCGCGCCTGCAATCCCAGGCACCGGGCAGGCTGAGGCAGGAGAATCAGGCAGGGAGGTTGCAGTGAGCCGAGATGGCGGCAGTACAGTCCAGCCTCGGCTTGGCATCAGAGGGAGACAGTGCAAAGAGGGAGAGGGAAGAGGGAAGAGGGTCATTTTTTATGGTTGCATAGTATTCCATGGTGTATATGTGCCACGTTTTCTTAATCCAGTCTGTCATTGTTGGACATTTGGGTTGGTTCCAAGTCTTTGCTATTGTGAATAGTGCCACAGTAAACATACATGTGCATGTGTCTTTATAGCAGCATGACTTATAATCCTTTGGGTATATACCCAGTAATGGGGATGGCTGGGTCAAATGATATTTCTAGTTCTAGATCCCTGAGGAATCATCACACTGACTTCCACAATGGTTGAACTAGTTTACAGTCCCACCAACAGTGTAAAAGTGTTCCTATTTCTCCACATCCTCTCCAGCACCTGTTGTTTCCTGACTTTTTAATGATCTCCATTCTAACTGGTGTGAGATGGTATCTCATTGTGGTTTTGATTTGCATTTCTCTGATGGTCAGTGATGATGAGCACTTTTTCATGTGTCTTTTGGCTGCATAAATGTCTTCTTTTGAGAAGTGTCTGTTCATATCCTTCGCTCACTTTTTGATGGGGTTGTTTGTTTTTTTCTTGTAAATGTCTTTCAGTTTATTGTAGATTCTGGATATTAGCCCTTTGTCAGATGAGTAGATTGCAAAACTTTTCTCCCATTCTGTAGGTTGCCTGTTCATTCTGATGGTAGTTTCTTTTGCTGTGCAGAAGCTCTTTAGTTTAATTAGATCCTATTTGTCAATTTTGGCTTTTGTTACCATTGCTTTTGGTGTTTTAGACATGAAGTTCTTGCCCATGCCTGTGTCCTGAATGGTATTGCCTAGGTTTTCTTCTAGGGTTTTTATGGTTTTAGGTCTAAAATTTAAGTCTTTAATTCATCTTGAATTAATTTTTGTATAAGGTTTAAGGAAGGGATCCAGTTTCAGCTTTCTCCATATGGCTAGTCAGTTTTCCCAGCACCATTTATTAAATAGGGAATCCATTCCCCATTTCTTGTTTTTGTCAGGTTTGTCAAAGATCAGATAGTTGTGGATATGCGGCATTATTTCTGAGGGCTGTGTTCTGTTCCATTGGTCTATATCTCTGTTTTGGTACCAGTACCATGCTGTTTTGGTTACTGTAGCCTTGTAGTATAGTTTGAAGTCAGGTAGTGTGATGCCTCCAGCTTTGTTCTTTTGGCTTAGGATTGACTTCGCAATGCGGGCTCTGTTTTGATTCTATATGAACTTTAAAGTAGTTTTTTCCAATTCTGTGAAGAAAGTCATTGGTAGCTTGATGGGGATGGCATTGAATCTATAAATTACCTTGGGCAGTATGGCCATTTTCACGATGTTGATTCTTCCTACCCATGAGCATGGAATGTTCTTCCATTTGTTTGTATCCTCTTTTATTTCATTGAGCAGTGGTTTTGTAGTTCTCCTTGAAGAGGTCCTTCACATCCCTTGTAAGTTGGATTCCTAGGTATTTTATTCTCTTTGAAGCAATTGTGAATGGGAGTTCACTCATGATTTGGCTCTCTGTTTGTCTGTTATTGGTGTATAAGAATGCTTGTGATTTTTGCACATTGATTTTGTATCCTGAGACTTTGCTGAAGTTGCCTATCAGCTTAAGGAGATTTTGGGCTGAGACGATGGGGTTTTCTAGATATAAAATCATGTCATCTGCAAACAGGGACAATTTGACTTCCTCTTTTCCTAATTGAATACCCTTTATTTCCTTCTCCTGCCTGATTGCCCTGGCCAGAACTTCCAACACTATGTTGAATAGGAGTGGTGAGAGAGGACATCCCTGTCTTGTGCCAGTTTTCAAAGGGAATGCTTCCAGTTTTTGCCCATTCATTATGATATTAGCTGTGGGTTTGTCATAGATAGCTCTTATTATTTTGAGATACATCCCATCAATACCTAATATATTGAGAGTTTTTAGCATGAAGGGTTGTTGAATTTTGTCAAAGGCCTTTTCTGCATCTGTTGAGATAATCATGTGGTTTTTGTCAGTGGTTCTGTTTATATGCTGGATTACGTTTATTGATTTGCGTATGTTGAACCAGCCTTGCATCCCAGGGATGAATCCCACTTGATCATGGTGGAGAAGCTTTTTGATGTGCTGCTGGATTCGGTTTGCCAGTATTTTATTGAGGATTTTTGCATCGATGTTCATCAGGGACATTGGTCTAAAATTCTCTTTTTTTGTTGTGTCTCTGCCAGGCTTTGGTATCAGGATGATGCTGGCCTTATCAAATGAGTTAGGGAGGATTCCCTCTTTTTCTATTGATTGGAATAGTTTCAGAAGGAATGGTACCAGCTCCTCCTTGTACCTCTGGTAGAATTCGGCTGTGAATCCATCTGGTCCTGGACTTTTTTTGGTTGGTAAGCTATTGATTATTGCCTCAATTTCAGAGCCTGTTATTGGTCTGTTCAGAGATTCAACTTCTTCCTGGTTTAGTCTTGGGAGAGTGTATGTGTCGGGGAATTTATTCATTTCTTCTAGATTTTCTAGTTTATTTGCATAGAGGTGTTTATAGTATTCTCTGATGGTAGTTTGTATTTAGAACACCATTATAATTTTAAGAAACTTTTTAGACTACCCTTGATACAAGCTTAGATCTGTGAGACTATTGAATCTATTTCAGTGGGAGAGCCCTAAAAAGCATTTTGGGTCTTGGTCTAGCCCCAAGGTGACTCTTTGCTATGTATGAGATTTTAGACCAATCACAATCTCACTGCATTTTAGTTTACTTATCTCTAAAACTTAGATATGAACGAAGTATTTCTGTGCTACTTCTGTGTCTCAAATTTTGTGTTATTTTGGGATAAAGAATTTATGCATATTTTTACTCTTATATTATTACCAGTTCTGAAAAATGTCTAGTAATTTGGGCTCTATGTTATTTTTTAACATTCTCCCAATAATGGATTCAGCATGGCTTTTCTGGGGATGGTGGCAGTTCTTCTCTGAGCCCAGGCTAACATACAGTCTTCTGGGTCTAGATATGATATTTTGTCTTTCCCTTTTCAAAAACACCACAGTGTGTGAATTCAGGGAAGAGTAACTCTTACCTCACCCTGTATAGCTGGGCTCTGGGGTCTTGGGGGTCCACTTTTTAGCAGTGACCTTTGAAGTACTGAATAGCTGTCCAACAGTTCACTTCCATAGCAATGAGCTTTTCCCTCTTTTGCACAATTTCAGCATCAGTTGCAGGAAAACAGCATGTATACCTTTATTTCAAGTTTCAAAACTTGCTTGGAAAAATAAAAGTTTATTTGCTCTTGAAATTTCGAAGGCTCTCTTTACTCGTGGGTCAGAATGATTGGGCTTTAAATATGTCATTTGTAAGTGGCAGCTTCAGTATATATTTATGAAGTGTCACTGTGGACCGAATTGGGCAATAGATAAGAAGTGTAGGTTGTTACAAGAAGACCAAGATATACTTCCTAGAGTAATTAGTAGCTTTTATTCCTTTTACATGATTGAATCCTCCCAGCAGTAGCAGCCTGTGTGAAGGTAGGTGTATTAGTTCGTTTCCACACTACTAATAAAGACACCCCGAGCCTGGGAAGAAAAAGATATTTAATTGGACTTACAGTTCCACATGGCTAGGGAGGCCTCAGAATCATGGCAGGAGGCAAAAGGCACTTCTTACATGGTGGCGGCAAGAGAAAAATGAGGAGCAAGCAAAAATGGAAACCCCTGATAAACCCATCAGATCTCATGAGACTTATTCACTACCATGACAACAGCATGGAGGAAACTGCCCATGATTTAAATTGTCTCCCACTGGGTCCCTGTCACAATACATGGGAATTATGGGAATTCAATTCAAAATGAGATTTGCGTGGGCACACAGCCAAACCATATCATTCTGCCCCTGTCCCCGCAAAATCTCACATCCTCACATTTCAAAACCAATCATGCCTTCCCAACAATCCCCCAAAGTCTTAACTCATTTCAGCATTAATCCAAAAGTCCACAGTCCAAAGTCTGATCTGAAACAAGACAAGTCCCTTCTGCCTATGAGTCTGTAAAATCAAAAGCAAGCTAGTTACTTCCTAGATGCAGTAGGGGTACAGGTATTGGGTAAATACAGCATTTCCAAATGGGGGAAATTGGCCAAAACAAAGGGGTTACAGACCCATGTAAGTCCAAACTCCAGTGGGGCAGTCAAATATTAAAGCTCCAAAATGATCTCCTTTGACTCCAGGTCTCACATCTTGGTCACACTGATGCAAAAGGTGTGTTCCTATGGTCTTGAGCAGCCCCACCCCTTTGGCTTTGCAGGGTACAGCCTCCCTCCCGGCTGATTTCATGGACTGGCATTGAGTGTGGCTTTTCCAGGTGCATGGTGCACACTGCCAGTAGATCTACCATTCTGGGGTCTGGAGGATGGTGGCCCTCTTTTCACAGCTCCACTAGGCAGTACCCCAGTAGGAACTCTATGTGGGGGCTCTGACCCCACATCTCCCTTCTGCACTGCCCTAGCAGAGGTTCTCCATGAGGGCCGGGCCCCTGCAGCAAACTTTTTCCTGGGCATCCAGGCATTTCCATACATCTTCTGAAATTTAGGCAGAAGTTCCCAAACCTCAATTCTTGACTTCTGTGCACCCGCAGGCTCAACACAATGGGGAAGCTGCCAAGGCTTGGGGCTTCCACCCTCTGAAGCCACAGCCCGGGCTGTATTTTGGCCCCTTTCAGCCACTGCTAGAGTGCCTGGGACACAGGGCACCAAGTCCCTAGTCTGCACACAGCACGGGGACCCTGGACCCGGCCCATGAAACAACGTTTTCCTCCTGGGCCTGTGATGGGAGGGGCTGCTGTGAAGAACTTCTGACATGCCCTGGAGACATTTCCCCCATTGTCCTGGGGATTAACACTAAGCTCCTTACTACTTATGAAAATTTCTGCAGCCAGCTTGAATTTCTCCCAGGAAAATGTGTTTTTCTTTTCTATCACATAGTCAGGCTGCAGATTTTCCCTTATCAAACTGAATGCTTTGCTTCCCTTATCAAACTGAATGCCTTTAACAGCACCCAGGTTACATCTTAAATGCTTTACTGCTTAGAAATTTCTTCCGCCAGGTACCCTAAAACGTCTCTCTCAAGTTCAAAGTTCCACAAATCTCTAGGGCAGGGGCAAAATGCTTCCGGTCTCTTTGCTGAAACATAACAAGAGTACCTTTGCTCCAGTTCCCAACAAGTTCCTCATCTCCATCTGAGTCCACCTCAGCCTGGACCTTATTGTTCATATTGCTATCAGCATTTTGGGAAAAGCCATTCAACAAGTCTCTAGGAAGTTCCAAACTTTCCCACATTTTTCTGTCTTCTTCTGAGCCCTCCAAACTGTTCCAGCCTCTGCTTGTTACCCAGTTCCAAAGTCGCTTCCACATTTTCAGATATCTTTTCAGCAACACCCTACTCTACTGGTACCAATGTACTGTATTAGTTTGTTTTCATGCTGCTGATAAAGACATACCCAAGACTGAGAAGAAAAAGAGGTTTAAATGGACTTACAGCTCCACATGGCTGCAGAGGCCTGAGAATCATGGCAGGAAGTGACAGGCACTTCTTACATGGTGGTGGTAAGAGAAAATGAGAAGGAAGCAAAAGTGGAAACCTCTGATAAACCCATCAGATCTCATGAGGCTTATTCACTACCACAAGAACAGTATAAGGGGACCACCTCCATGATTCAAATTATCTCCTATTGGGTCTCTCCCACAACACATGAGGAGAATGGGAATTATGGGAATACAATTCAGAATGAGATTTGGGTGGGACACAGCCAAGCTATATCAGTAGGTAAGGTAGTTGTTAATCCTATTTCCCAGAGGAAACAGGCTTGGCAAGGCTAAAGGACTTTGTCGAGAAGGGAAGTAGCTGGATAGACTCTCAAACGCAGGCTCCCTGGCTCACTTGGCTAATACTCTTTCTACCATAGCACACACATAAGACCATTAAATTGTATTGTGTACCACAGGTATTCATGGTTTAGGAATTCAGGGAGGAGAAAAGGATTATGAAGTGGAGTAGACAGCTAAGGCTTTGCAGAGAAGGACCTTAAAGACTAAAGGAAGAATCTAAACTTCTTGATGAATACGTAGAGAATTCCAAGTTATGGGGAAGCACAGGGGTTATTTTAAGGAAGGAATAATTTTGTTGTCCCAGTTAGTTAATAGAAGCCATTAATTTGTCTCACTGTCTCAAAGAGGCCCTGATGGGGCTCACCTTTGCAATATTCGAGTTCCTTTGTTAGATATGTGCTTGCCATGCTTGTAATGCCAGATGGATACTTGATGGACCATTATGAAATTGGCTCCTAGCATTTGATTTTTTCCTATTTTAAAGTTGATTGTCTATATACCTGTTTTAGTACCAGTACCATGCTGTTTTGGTTACTGTAGCCTTGTAGTATAGTTTGAAGTCAGGTAGCGTGATGCTTCCAACTTTGTTCTTTTTGCTTAGGATTGTCTTGGCTTTACAGGCTCTTCTTTGGTTCCATATGAAATTTGAAGTAGGTTTCTCTAGTTCTGTGAAGAAAGTCAGTGGTAGCTTGATGGGAATAGCATTGAAGCTATAAATTACTTTGGGCAGTATGGCCATTTTCATGATATTGATTCTTCCTATCCATAAGCATGGGATGTTTTCCCATTTGTTTGTGTCATCTCTTATTTCCTTGAGTAGTGGTTTGTAGTTCTCCTTGAAGAGGTCCTTCACATCCCTTGTCAGTTGGATTCCTAGGTATTTTATTTTCTTTGTAGCAATTGTGAATGGGAGTTCACTCATGATTTGGCTTTCTGCTTGTCTATTATCAGTGTATAGGAATGCTAGTAATTTTTGCACATTGATTTTGTATCCTGAGACTTTGCTGAAGTTGCTTATCAGCCTAAGGACTTTTTGGGCTGAGATGATAGGGTTTTCTAAATATACAATCATGTCATCTACAAACAGAGACAATTTGACTTACTCTCTTCCTATTTGAATGCGCTTTATTTCTTTCTCTTGCCTTATTGCCCTTTTCCTATAGGACTCCAATACTATGTTGAATAGGAGTGGTGAGAGAGGGCATCCTTGTCTTATGCCAGTTTTCAAAGGGAATGCTTCCAGCATTTGTCCTTTCAGTATGATATTGGCTATGGGTTTGTCATAAATAGCAGGGACATGGGTGAAGCTGGAACCCATCATCCTCAGCAAAGTAACACATGAACAGAAAACCAAAAACCACATGTTCTCACTCATAAATGGGAGCTGGACACAGGGAGGAGAACATTACACACTGGGGCCTGTCATAGGGTAGGGGGAAAGGGGAGGGAAAGCGTTAGGACAAATACCTAATGCATGAGGGGCTTAAAACCTAGATGATGGATTGATAGGTGCAGCAAACCACCATGGCACATGTATACCTAAGTAACAAACCTGCGTGTCAGCACATGTATCCCAGAACTTAAAGTAAAATAACAAATAAATAAATATTTCTTAAAAAGTTGATTATCTCTTGAGAGGAGATTATGTGACTCTTCCTCTCATCAGAGAGGACTGAAATAACACTTTGGCCTCTGTCTGGTCCCTGTGGTTCTCAGGGAGTTTCCTATCTTGGCTGGCTTCCTGTGCTGGGCAAGGGGGAAATGAAGAACCTAGGTGAAAAGCCTGTGTTCATCTCCCTTGGGCCTCAACACTCCACTGAGAATATTTCTTTAGAGTTCTCATACCCATTTCAAGATGTTGAGGGTTCCTTTGGCTGTTTTCCTAACTCTGCTGAGAGTGTTTGAAGGGAGGCCTTGGGTCTGAGGCCAAGGAGTTCCCCTTTTCTTCCTGACCTTCTGCCAGAACTCCCATTTGGCATGTGTGTCTTCTTGACACTCTCTGGGCAGTACTGGTGGCAATTGAAATTCTTTACGGTGGTTTTTAAGCAGTCAGAGATGTACTTTGGTTTTACATTTCTCTAGAGAATGCCCATCTTATTCTCCTTGCGCGTCCAAATTGTTTTACAGCCATTTTCATTGTCAATGGTATTTTCAGCAGGTTTGTTTTCCATTAAGCCATCTACACATTACTAGGTCAAAGGAATATTTTTGAAGATATTGAGCAGACATTGATTATCTTCTGAGCCCTGGGCATGTAGATCTATGGGTGCTTAACATTGTAGCTACTTCACATTCACTCGTAGGCTCTTTGGGGAGTCTAGACAGACACTTAGTCACAGGAAGGTGTGACAGGGAAAGTGCACGGTACTATGGATGCTCAGAAGAGGGAACACCCAGTTTGTTTGCAAAGTCTGAAATATCTTTAAAAGCTATTATTGCCACTTGATTGGTTGTTATATGGACTGAAAAACTGAGAGTGGACTCTCAGAGTAAGATTGGGACTCCCAGAGTAAGATGGGATTCTTTCTAAAGTAAGATTTGGGCCAGCCCGAGCAACATAGTGAGACCCCCCACCCCAATCTCTACAGATATTTTAAAAATTAGCCAGATACAGTGGCATGCACCTGTGGTCCCAGCTTCTGGGAGGCTGAGTTGGGAGAATCACTTGCACCCAGGAGATAGAGATTGCAGTGAGCCATGATTGCACCACAGCACTCCAGCCTGGGCAATAGAGTAAGACCCTGTCTCACCCTGACAAGCAAAAGATTTTGGGATTCAGTAGAGATGAGTCCTATAGGAAAAGGGGCAAGGAGTAGGACAGCCTTGATGAAGTCGGCTTGAGAAATCCTGGTAAATAGTTTCTTTATTGGAGGATTTCCTGGAGGTTTTAACATCCTAATGCATACTGCTATCCCCAGGAGAGATTATAGTATGTATTCCTAGGCTTATTTGGCTATATATTTTTTAAAAGCTTGGAAGATTTTATCAGATTATTATTTCACAAAAACATACTCAGGGAAATAGCATTTCAAGCCCTTAAATCTCCAGATCTTTGCAACAGTCATCATTTGAGAAAAAAAATTAGCCCCCTGGTAGGTAGAGTTTTTTTTATAGTGAGATGTAGTGGACAGTGGCTACTGGATATAATAGATAATTTGAGAAAGAAAAACAAAAGGATATGGGTACCCAAAGACCCATCTGAAAATCACTGCTTTTAGAGCTAGGTTATGTTTCATGAACTTTCACATATGATTTCTTAGTTAAATATCGACAACAACCCTGTGAAGGAAATACTTGATTATCATTATCTTCATTTTAGAGGTGAATAAGCTGAAGCTCACATAATGGATTATGTATGGGAGATGCTGAGAGTCAAACTGTGGTCCGTCTTCTGCCAAAGGCCACATTTCATCAGCTATTATTATGCTTTGTTAAGGAGTTTGTTAAGGTCTTTTATTTTTAACTTTTCTTGTTTTTTATTTTGTATGATTGTGATAAAAGTAATATATGCTTATTAAAGAAAAATAGGTGGAGAAAAGTAGAAAATACCTACAGAACCATCATTAAGTATAACTGCAGTTAATATGTGATATATTTCTTTCCAGTTGTTTTATACAATATTATGTAAGTTGAGTATCCCTTATCCAAAATGCTTGGGACCAGAAGCGTTTCGGATTTCAATCTTGGGGATACTTTGGAATATTTCCAGAATGCACTCAGTTGAGCATCCCTGATCCAAAAATCTGAAATGCTCCAATGAGCATATTCTTTGAGTATCATGTCAATTCTCAAAAAGTTTCGGATTTTGGAGCATTTTGGATTTTGAGTTTCAGCATTAGGGATTCTCAACCTGTGTACCATAGTTAGCCATAGTTACAGTTATATGTATTATATATACACATTATACATGTATGTTTCTATTTATGCATAAATTTATAAAATTTTGAATCCTACTTTAAAATCTTCCCTACAGATGTGCATTTGGTTATTTTCACATAGTTAGTAAAATATTTTAATAAGTAAATCCACTGAACTAGAACTCAGAAACTTAACTTGTAACTCTTCTATGCAGACTGCCATTTGGCCATGGGCAAGTTTCTTGACATTTCTAGAACTCACATTCTTCATTTATAAATGAAGGAGTTGGATCAGATCCTTAATTTTTAAACTGTGGGATCTCACAGAACCCGAGAGGGGCTGAGATTAAGAAAGATCAACAGAGCAGTCAGGACCTTGGCCCTTCACATGGGCTTCAACCCAAGCAGCGGCATTTGTAGATCTTTTATCTATTTGGGACCTAAGCACATATGGAAAAGGGGATTCACTGATTTTTTTTTTTTAAAGAATATAAAAATATTAAACCAGTTGATTTTGAAGCTCAGCAATTCTGTGAGTTGCTGTATGTTATGTACATTTTTAAACATTCTTCACGAGGTAGAGTAAGCAAATATATTTTATTCTTTTAAATTATCTCAGGAAGCATGTAAGGACAAAGAGAATACCTGGTCTCTTGACCAGGTTGAAAAGTGTCCAAAGCACTGTCAAGTTGCTTCTTAGAAAATAGACCATTGGAAATTATTATTATTTTTTTTTTTTGAGAAGGAATCTCGCTCTGTCGCCCAGGCTGGAGTACAGTGGCTGATCTCGGCTCACTGCAAGCTCCGCCTCCCGGGTTCACACCATTCTCCTGCCTCAGCCTGGGCAGGAGTAGCTGGGACTACAGGCGCCCGCCACCACACCCGGCTAATTTTTTGTATTTTTAGTAGAGACAGGGTTTCACCGTGTTAGCCAGGATGCTCTCTATCTCCTGACCTCGTGATCCGCCCGCCTCGTTCTCCCAAAGCGCTGGGATTACAGGCGTGAGCCACCACGCCCGGCTGACCGTTGGAAATTCTATAAAATATGTCTCCTTTGACAACATCCATTTTCAGATCCAATTCAATGTGTGTCGCAAAAGACTAATAACCAGGAAATCAGTAGTCCCTGAAACGAATACATGTTTGAAAACTATTAAGTTTACCAATAACTGGTTTTCTACTTTCCTTATGTATATAAGGCTTTGCGTTTTGAGAGGGGTAATTTGGAAGTACAGCATCTTGATATTTTCTCTTGCTTTCACAGAAGGAAGAATCCTGCTCAAAAATGAGGTGAATTAATACTTGGGCGCTCAGGAACCCTGGACAGCTACATGAGGTGTTTAAAAACTGCCCTGACCATCTTGCCAAACAAGTCTCTGCTCATGAGGCCCCACAGGATGAACGAGCCGAGGCAGGACAGTGTCCTGCCCTGTCGGAACAGTGACTGCTGACCTGCCAAGAGAGAGCTGGGGACTGCCTGCTGTCTGCCAGTACAATGAAGGAAGTGGTTTATTGGTCACCCAAGAAGGTGGCAGACTGGCTGCTGGAGAATGCTATGCCAGAATACTGTGAGCCTCTGGAGCATTTCACAGGCCAGGACTTGATCAACCTAACCCAAGAGGATTTCAAAAAACCCCCCTTGTGCCGAGTCTCCTCTGACAATGGGCAGCGGCTCCTGGACATGATAGAAACCCTGAAAATGGAGCACCATTTGGAAGCACACAAGAACGGCCATGCCAATGGGCACCTCAACATTGGCGTAGACATCCCCACCCCCGACGGCAGCTTCAGCATCAAGATTAAACCCAACGGGATGCCAAATGGGTATAGGAAAGAGATGATAAAGATCCCCATGCCAGAACTGGAGCGCTCTCAGTACCCCATGGAGTGGGGCAAGACTTTTCTGGCCTTTCTTTATGCACTTTCCTGTTTCGTTCTCACCACAGTGATGATCTCGGTCGTCCACGAACGAGTACCTCCTAAGGAGGTGCAGCCTCCACTACCGGACACATTTTTTGACCATTTTAACCGGGTGCAGTGGGCCTTTTCTATTTGTGAAATTAATGGCATGATCCTTGTAGGACTCTGGTTAATTCAGTGGCTGCTCTTAAAATACAAGTAAGTCAAGTAAAAGCTCTAAGATTCAATGATTATGGGATTTGCACTCCAAACATCTACTTATTATTTATAAATGAAATTTATCAACTTGTTGGGATCAAAACATACTATTTTTTTTTCTTTTTTAAACACATACCCTGTTGGACTAACTTACTGTCTGGAAGCTTTAAAAGAAAATGTTGTTTGTTGCCTGTTTTATGCAAGATTCATACAGGATGATGAATAAGATGGTTAGAGATGATGCTCTGTTTTCACTTAATAAGAAAGAAAACTCTCAGACATCTTCAGACAGTACAGGCTATTGAACAACAGATCAACCACCTAGTCTTGGTTGGTGTTACTAACCCATTAAATAAATCGACAGTTGGCCTAAGCACTATAAATTGGCTGCATAGCTTTTCCCACACAGAGTCAGACATCTAGAGCCTTAGCAATATGTATTTAAAGATGTTTCACACAGAATTCAGAACACCTGTTCCAGAGTGGCTTGGGTTGTTGGGAAAACAATACCAAAGGGTATGCCTTTGGGTAGGTGGGAAGTGGATGGACCTGAATGGATTCCCACCTTCTACTACTACTACTTAAAACAATATGTGACTGTTGCATTCAAATTTCTCAGAGTTTTAAGTAGGCAACTCCCACTTAGTTCCAGGTGTATCCAAGGTGGCTTTCATATCTGAAGCTCTAAACTCAACATGGACCCCCTCAGACTGGCTGTTTACTGGGGTTGCCTACATTGTCCCTTCACTGATGTTTGATTTTCTCCTTAGTTAAAGGAACGCCTTATGGTTTCCATGAATGAGGGTTGGAAATTGGTTTGTTAAAGAGCTGAGTTTCTCTCCAGTGGAGTGTGTTTCATGATCCACCATGTGGTTAAATATTAAGGAATTCATCTTACAGCAAGAAAACAAAATGCACACTGAGAGTTCATGCTGAATGTTCTTTGACAGAAATGATAAGGTTTTTCCTAGTATGTTTTATAACAACTCTTTTTTTTAACCTGATAAATTATATATCTACAAATTGAAATAAAAGCAGTTCCTGACACTTTCCCAGGGATGGACGGTCTTAACTGGTATAAAGAAAGCCATTTAACTGATCAGTGTTTATTTACAGATGGTTTGACAGTCCTAGAGTTTAAGCTGAATCTGAAATAGAATTGTTGGTCTGGGCTGCATTTAATTTGGTGGAAGACGTTTTTTTCTGTTCCTTTGGTTTTAAGAGGCTAATAAATAGGAATAGGCTTTAGAAATACAAGATACTTGGAGTTTATTAAATGCATTATTTTTGCTGCCAAACTTTAGTTCTGCTTTTGCCTTTTTGACTTTTAAACTTTTTTCCTAAAATCCCACTGGAACAAAATACCAGTACTGTACAAAGGCAAGGTCAACTCAAATTATGCTTCCTGAGTTTTCCCTGATATTTGTTGTTTTGTTTTTGTAAGTTTGCTCCTTTTCCGGTTTTTCATCAAAATTTTTAAATTCAGGCAAATAATTTACTACCCCACAATATAACTTTGAGTAAGTCTTAACAGTTACGAATCAGAATCTTTCACAGAACTGTGACTTTTAAGTAATTTTATTCTTATAAAGTATCCTCTTAACCATAAAACTAATTTTCTTAAAGTATATTAATAATTACAATTTTCCCAACAGGAAATTTTCCTCAAATCTATTTCTCTTTAAGCTTTATGATTTTGCGTTTTCCTGGTACTTATTGACAATACTGTAGTCATTTATATATTTAAATTGCTCAAAGCAAGAAACCAGTTGATTTGACAAAATTAACTCAGTGCTGGAATGAGGCCTCAGGTGTGTCCAACTTGCTGAGTGGTTTGGGTGGATCCTTACATCTCAGGAGCCTCGTTTTTCTCACAAACGGAATAATGACGTCTCAGTCTAGATGATTTCTGTTGTCATATATATATACAACTACATTTTATTAGATTCTAACATAATTGGATGGGCCAATTATATTGAATTTTATTAGCTTCAGAGCGTTTGTGTCCAGAATGCATCCAACTAAGTCCTCTCTGATTTTCACCTCTGGCGGGATAGGGATGTGGGAAATGAAAGCAGAGTCGTCATGATCTTCCTAAGCATCGTCCACCCTGTCCTTCTACTGGGGTCCATCGCTGGTTTCCTGTCTCTCTCCCTGTGACCTCTCTTCAGTGTATCTGGCCCACCAGACAGGTAGGAGGTAGGAAGAAAGATACAGATGACACATCAAGCAGTGAAGATGGATAAACTACCTTTTCCTGGCTCTCATAGAGAAGGTTAAAATCTTTTGTAGTATCAGAGGGACCCTTTGTTTCTAGTTATTTAGTTATTGCATTATAGCAGTTTTGTTTATCTGGCATTTTGGAGAAATTGATCCTTCTGGTTATGGGATATTCTTAGCAGAGAGTTAACTTCTCCCTGTTTTTGTATTTGACTCTTCTGAGTGTTGACCCCATCCCCAATCTCCACTAGGAGGTGTGCCACTTAGGAGCCTGTTTTATACGACTTCTCCAAATTAAGCCTATTTGGCCAGTAATTCCCAACAGAATATTTTTACTTTGATTTTAAAAGTCCTGGATCCCTTAAAAAATCAGTCTATCCTTCTTATTTCAGTTTCTTCTACTTTTTAGAGAAGAATCATGGGATGGAACTAGAGGATCACTTACTTAAGAAATGAGATCACTAGAATTTGGCCAAAAACTCCCAGCAATAAACCCTTTAACCAAATGTTTGAGGTGCTGGAAAATCTTAATCTTGAATTTGTGACATTGTGACATTTGGTTCTATCTTTATGTTGTATAAAATTGTCCTTTACTATTAAACATAGGTTTTGATTTTTTTTGTACTTAAATTTTTCCTCCTTTCATTCTTAATGTCTCCCCTGCATATCTGTATGTATATATGTTTATATATACGTAAATCCACATGGGATTTCCATGACCTCTCAAAATGGAAAGCAACAATAATGCCTGTCCTTGAGAACTTTTTTGGTTTTTACAATTGTAAATAATGTTGTCTCCCCATTTAGAATTGGACTTTCAAGCCACTGACTAGGAAAAATTCCTGGGAAATCTCTGCATTTGTGTCAGACTTCACTGCAAAACAGGTATCCCTTGTTTTAAGAAAGCATGATAAAGAACATATTAAACTTAGAGATTTGATGAAGGCTGAAGATGTAAGGATTTTTCATGCATGGCTAAATAATGGCTAACACAGTGGCACCTATGTGTGATACGTGTGGCTCAGCTCTACTGGGACATGGTGAACACCTGAAGAAGAAAGCCAAGGAGCAGGACTCTAGAGTTTCCAAGTCACCAGAGAAATTATGACTTAGTGTGGTGGTCATAGGTTCCTCAAACTCAACTTGCATGAAACCAGATTTACTATATTTTTCTTCCAACTTTTTCTTCCTCGTATCTGGCCAGTGGCATTTCCTAGAAACCTAGAACTCCTCAGTTCCTTTTATCCAGATAGTCACTAAGTTGTTTCCATTCTAATTTTAGATCCATTTCTTCTTTCCATTTCTATTTAGAACTCCATAGTGGGTGCTCAGATGGAGAACCAGCTCCTTAGCCTGAAGCTCAAGGGCCCTCAGCATCTGGTCCCAGTCTCTCCTGCCTTATCTCTAGCTACTCCACTCCACAGTTTTCCTCAAACACATTAAGCCCATATCACATTTCATTCTATTAGTTGTATATATGTCTCCTTCATTGCTAAATTGTAAGTTCCTCAAGGGGAAGAACTAGACCCTATTCATCATTCACCTTTCTATCCCAGTGCCTGGCACATACAAAGTGCTTACCTGAAATTCATTCATTCATTCAACTAGTGTTTATTAAGCAGTATACCATATTTCAGGCACCGATAGACCCTGGGGATGCTCCACTGAGTAAAGGATCCTGATGCTTTCGTGAAGCTTATATTCTGGCCAGTGTAAGGGAGGCAGTAAATGAATATATGATATTGGCTAGTGTGATGGAGAAAAATAAAGCAGTGCAAAGGGCTTGCAAGTGTTGGAGAGAGTGGGGAGAGGCTGGTACTTTAGATTGAATGATCGGAAACCAGACTCCTCTGATTAGAAGATGGTTGAACAGACATCTGAATCAAATGAGAGTGAATACCATGCATGTGTTTGGGGAAGAGTAGTTGATGCAGGAGACACAGAAAGTGCAGAGTTCTGGCACTTACCTGAGGAACGGTCAAGGGTCCATGTGGCTGAGTTAGCTGGGAGAGAACCCTGATGCAGGAGGTCAGTGAGGTGTTAGCCTTGTGAGCCATGGATGGATAAGGAGTTTGGATTTTATTTCAAATGTGGCAGTAAGCCATTAGGGGAGAAGGATATGAAAAACCTGGTGTTTTAAAAGAATGAAACTGGTGTTTAAAAGAATGTGGCTGCATTACAGAGACTAGGGAAGCAAGAGTTGAAGCAGGGGGCCTGGTTGAGATGCCACTGCAGGCTGGGCGTGGTGGCTCACGCCTGTAATCCCAGCACTTTGGGAGGCAGAGGCAAGTGGATCACCTGAGGCTGAGAGTTTGAGACCAGCCTCACAACTTGGAGAAACCCCATCTCTACTAGAAATACAAAATTAGCTGGGCGTGATGGCACATACCTGTAATCCCAGCTACTCGGGAGACTGAGGCAGGAGAATCGCTTGAACCCAGGAGGCGGAGGTTGCAGTGAGCTGAGATCGCAGCATTGCACTCCAACCTGGGCAACAAGAGTGAAACTCTAAAAAAAAAAAAAAAAATGCCATTGCAGTAGTCCAGGTAGAAGATGATCATGACTTAGACTCAGTTAACATTTGTTTAGTGAATAAATTTTGTGGAAGGGTAATGAGAAGGGCTGAACTCTTTCTAGAAGCCATGACACTTATAGTTTCTAATCTTTTATAATGACAGGGCTGACTTCTGTTGCAGTATCTTTCTCATAGGAGGTTTTTGGGGGTCTCTGTGAATCCTTGATTTGTATATGGAATTTGATGGGGAAATAGCATTTACTAATTTGGGGAAATCTCCAACTTTGTTTGAATATATTTTATTTCCGAGCGAAATGAAGTCAGGTATATATCTTGATATGTGTTTTCTACCATAGCTTCTTTTGGGTCAGACATTTGCCTAAAAGGAATAGCATAAGACAGTTGTATAAGGAGAAATTAGATGTCACAGGGTATATTAGTCAGTTGGTGGTGAAAAGATTTGAAGAAAGAAAAGAAACCATTGGACAGTTGGGTTATGGGTTGGGGTCAGGGGTAGAGAGAGCTTAGTGGTAAAACATTCTGGCATAAGCAGTTGCATTGATTTGTAGAGAGGCTAGTAAAATGGAAATGGTCACTTAGTGGGTGACAATTTTCTCTGAAAATTGATCCCATGCCAAAAGGGAAGGAAGTAAAGAAGAAAAATGATGACCACAGATCCTGCTTGGGACCTGCCATGGCATCAAGTTTTAGAACTGTTTCTAGGGGTTTTGTTAATCCTGCAGGAATGAACAGATACAACTTTCCAGTATGGCTTTTCTGGGATTATATGCTGAGAGAACTAGGATGGATTTTTAGAAGTTTACTAACATTCTGTATTTCATGTTTGGAGGTCACTTTGGGAAAGACTTTTTTTTTTTTTTTTTGTATTTTAACCTTTGATAAGCCTTTTGGGGGCCTTATTTGTTAAGTGGGTATCAGCCAACATAAGAGATTATTTCTATAGCATTTTCCTCTCTTCTGTGAATGGAATCTAATTTCCAAGCATAATCTTTGTACTGATTGGCAGTTGCTTTTGTCAGATGCTAATCTGTTTTTGGTTTGTGTTTTATTCAATAGACTAGATTCTCCACTAACATTTATCTTTCATTTTACCCTATTTTAATCCCATCAGTGTTTCTTTTCACATTAAGTTGATTGAATCAAACTACTTAACTCCTCTTCTGTTCCCAAAGGTAGTTTATGACCCACAGACACTGTCAACAATTTTTCCCTTTTTTTATGTCTTCGATGGTTGTGATTAAAGTTCTTAAAAGCATTTGATATAAAGAGCATTTGATATGAAGTTGGAGGGGGAGGTTTCTATTCAATAGAATTTATTTTCTGAGTTCCGGAAGAACCTTTTCTTAAGGTCATTTCACTTTACTATATATTAGCCATATACTGTGGGACCATAATTGTAGTCTTTAATGGAGCTTCAGAACATTTTTATGTTTAGTTATTTACCAAAAATTATTGGGGACTGTGTGCTATGGATATAGCAGCGAGCAGAACAGTTGAATGGGGGTTATATTCTGGGAAATGTTTGTTCTTAGAGTGACATCTCAGTTTTTGAAAATGTGTTGTCTAAACTCCATCCATGTATGAAACTCATGAGGACAAAATTCCCTCATATTACTGGTGCTTTTTCGGATACTTACCCATTATTTAATTCTCTGATAAGCTGTAATATTTATCTCCAGCAATAAAGCAAGGTAGGTGCTCAGGGATTACCTCTTTCCCTCCTTTCTATTCCCTCCACACATGTAGCTGCATCAATTATGTGCTTACTCAAAATCTGTTTTGTTCTGTTCCTTTTAATCCATGTCAAAAATTATTATCCTATTCAAGAGGCAGGTTCCAAACTAACTGATTTTAGAGTAGTAAGCATTAATGTGTATTGTATCATTTGATACAATCAACCCTTAAAACAAGTAGTGTTATTCTCCTTTCTCAGTGAAGAAAACTGAGACTTGGAGAAGCTATTGACTTGCCCAGAATCCTACAGTGGCATATTTTGGGCACTGAAGGCTCTTCATTATACATCCAGTCTATAAATTTCCTGGTATTATAGGCATCTGTCCTTTGGAGATGTATTTTTTTTTAACAGATTTAGTGTTGTAGATGCCACGTGCATAGGACAGAATAAAAACAAATGAGTTCAGTTTTTTAATTATATATTTTATGTGTTGGGTTCCATCTGGGAGACGTGCATGTGTTTCAGGATGGATCTGCCAACTTTGATAGCCGTCCATTTTTGCAGTTCCCCATAGACTGTAGAAAATGCCCTTAGCTCTGTCCTAGCTCTGGAACCTTCTAAGTGTGGAATGGGCCCTACTCACTACTAATCTGATAAAGCTTCCTTTGCTACCAACTTCAGTCACGTTTCTGCACTTAAGACCACTGACTAGGCATGCCCAACCTTATTCTTTTACTTTCTGTTTCTAGTACGTTTTCTCTCTTCCCTTGATTCTGACCTATTATCTATCTAGGCTCAGAGCCTGAGCTGAGATCCCATTTTCTTTCCTTTCCTGGGGACCTTCTCTGACCCTTCTCTTCCCAGATCATCTGGATCTCCTAGCCTCTTGCAGGCCTCGCTGTGCCTCCTCTGTCTTCTTTTTGTTTACCGAGGGCAGTTTTTTTGGAGTGGGGAAGGACACTCTAAAGGCTAGATGATGGATTCAGTCCCAGATTGTGCCTCACCTTTCATTCTCATGTTGGTGAACTGGTGGTCTTCTTTGCTTCTACCTTTTCTAATTTACAATTTTAGGTCTCATGACCTAAATAATGGACTGAGCCATAGGAATTATAGGGAAATTGTAGATTTTTCTCTAAAGTTAGTAATCCCAGCAATTTGACTTGTAGGCAGATTAGAAGATAAGGATAAACAAAAAGACAAACCAAATTATCATCTCACCAGAGATAAATGATGCTCATATTTGGGTTCATATAACTTTTGATATTTTTCTGCATGTGCTCATAAATGAGTACTCTGTGTACATGTGTATTTCTAAATGGTATCATTTTGGCCTTCTCTTTTACAGCATGCCCAGGGATTGTCTATTTCCCTCCTCTCAACAAACCATCATGGATGTCTAATTACTCATGATCTGATTTAGAAGTCACCACATCTGTGTCCCACCAGCCTGTCGGTGCCATGACTGTGGTGGTGAAGCATGTGGTTATACTCAGTCTTACACTGGAAGATCATTCTTGATTTAGATCCCTACAGCTGCCTGCTGACTGAGTGACTTTGGCCAAGTTACTTGACTATTGTAGTAGCATTGTTTCCTTACCTACAAAATGAAAATTATAGTTTCTATAATGCTGTCTTGAGGATTGAACGAGATGATATGCATAAAGCACTTGACAGAGTACTTGGCATCCTCCTGGTTCCCAAGCCCACCAGTGGCATTTCCATTCCTCCCAGTGCTCAGCCCAAATGTGTTGGGTTTTGTTTTGTTTTTGAGATGAGATCTCACTTCATCCTCCAGGGTGGAGTGTAGTGGCATGATCATAGCTCACAGCTCACTGTAGTGTGGAACTCCTGGACTCAAGTGATCCTCTGACCTTCCTCACCACATCTATTGCTGGCATAGGTCTAACCACCTTCATCTTTTACCTAGGTTATTACCTGGTCTTGCTTCCTTTTAGTGGGCTTTTAGTACATTTCTCTTCTTCCACCTCATATGGCATTAAAGCCAGTGTCCTCATATGGTGACCTACGAGGTCCTCCCAGACCTCATGCCCTGTACTCCCTTGATGATCAACAAACACCGACACACACAAGCCTCTGGAATTTTCTCCCACAGATAACCTCCTTGTTGACCCATCATACAGAGGTAGACCTTCTCTGACCAACTTAGCCCCCAATTCTAACCTCCCTTCCCCCAGTGAGACTCTCACTTAGTTTTACCCTTTAGCACTTATCTAACATGCTCTATATTTTACTTATTTCTTTACCTGTGTATTGTCTGCCTCTTTCACTAGAACACAGGCACCACAAGCCAGGATGTTTGTCCATTCTGTTCACTGCTGTATTCCGCATGTTTAGAATAGCACATGTATATTCATTGTGTGAATTTTAATAGACACTAAAATTTATTAAGTGTTGCACATGCTAGTTACTGTGCCTAGAATTCAATAAATGTTAGTGACTGCTGGTGATGTGTCTGTTATGTTTTCAGAAACCCCCTGTTAAAAAAACAGTGTTGCTTTTAAGGATAATCCCTTAGCCCAAGAGTAAACATTAATTGTTCAGTTCTGCTGGCTGTGACTAAGCAAGCCCCTAACAATGTGACTCAAGGTGGTTAAGTTTTGATGATGGGAAGAAATGAGGAGATCTGGGTGTGTATACGCACACACACACAAACACACATGTATGCATATACACATTCGTATTCTGTGTATATATACACTAATGTATACACACATATATGTACACATATATACATACATTATTTTTGTTGACAGCCTAAAATACCAACACAGAAATCTAACACCTTTTGTCTACAATTTTATTTAGCAGTTTCTGGAGGATACTTGATTTTAATTCTACATAACTATCTCAAGTAGATAGTGTTGATGTTTTTGTTCATGTCTTATAGGGTAGCATTTTTTTCTTTACTTCCTGTTACAACCTGTATATAAGTCAGGAAGTAACATTTTAATTTCATTAGCAAAAAGAGCAGCTGATTCAAAGTCTGAAAGACCTGGGTTTTGTTGTGACTCTGTCATTGACTTACTCTCTGGCTCCAGGCTAGTACTTAAATTCCTCATACAATTTCCCCTTCTGTAAAATGGGATAATGGTATATGCTAAACAGGAATGTTGTTAAAATAATTAGTAACAAAGGTGTGAATTTTGTTTGAGTTGGATTTTAAAAAGCAAAAACACATAGTATATGTACAGACACATTTCTGGACTGGTGCACAGGTATGTCTCATTTTCCTGATTCATGAACTGTGCCATCTACCCTGTATGGGTACCTAGGAATATTAAATGAGTTCTAAATCTCCCAGGCAAGCATTTATTTTGATTATTTTGTCTGTTCTACCATGTTTAGTCTTGCTCTTCATTTGTTTTACTAACCTTTCCTTAGAATTTTCTCTCCTAAAGTACTGAATTAAGCCCTGGATTTTCCTAAATGGAGTCTGTAGCCATTGAGATACCTGAGGCTGTGATGGGTGGAAAGGCCTTACAGGACAATGAGACTAGAAAGAAGAGAGAAGGATACAGAACTCACAGGCCCCAATCTCCAGGGGTTTGCAGTCCTGGTTGGATAATGGAGCAATCTCAGCAAGTGTTTTGAATAAAAATATGAATGCAGAAAGGATGCAGAGTGAAGGGATAGTGAGCATCAGGGCAGAGTAACTCTGGCAGATACATAAAAGGGTTTAAGCAACAAACATTTGTAGAAAGAAGTAGAAAAGGACTTCAGAGAGAATAAGAATTAAAGCTCTAGAGCACAAAACTGTGTAGTGTTGCTGGTACTGCCAGTCATATTACAGGTACCATCATAAGTCTCCCTGGGACTAAAAGACAAGAAAGCACAGGTCTTCTTAAGAGCGTCTTCTCACAAAAGGGGTGAGACGTGAGACATTTTTGTTGGTAATGGTGATTCCAGTCTCACTATTAAAAAATACCATACAGTAGAAACAAAATTTGAAGGAATTGGGAGGATGAAGTGGCTCTGTCCAGTTGGGGACATCTGGAAGCCATGAGGTAGATGCATAGGATTATAGCAGACATAATCATGTGAGAGGCCAGAGAAAGAAATTGACAGGCAAAAGCAAGAAATTGAGTTTGTGTTTAGGGAACAATGAGTGGCTCTTTTTGCCCTTGGCAGTGGGATTCACATCTAGGAGAAGACAGAGGAGGTGGAGGCAGGAGGATCATTTGAGCCCAGGAATGCAAGACCAGCCTGGGCAAAATGGCAAGACCCTGTCTTTACAGAAAATTTTTTAAAAATTAGCCAGCCATGGTGGCCTGCACCTGTGATCCCAGATACTCAGGAGGCTGAGGCAGGAGGATTGCTTGAGCCCGGGAGATGGAGACTGCAGTGAGCCATGATCATGCGACTGCACTCCAGCCTGGATGACAGAGCAAGATCCTGTCTCACCAAAAAAAAAAAAAAAAAAAAAAAAAAGACTTAAAAAAAGGAGATGTCATGTTGAAGGGAGTTGAAGAAAGCTATGAGGGGAGTTGTCACAATCCAGGGAATCCAGGTGCTGTAGCAAGGAATTAAGGAAACAGGTTTTAGAATTTCTTTGGAGTTAGTTAGCTTCCACAGAATATGGGAATGTGGGGGTGCAGAATGTTGTCAGGAGGGCTGTAAAGAAATTAAAATAGAAGGATAGGATAGAGAGGAGCAGGGGCTTCCTTAGAGTAGGGGACCTCTCTGAGAGATGACATTTGAATGGAATGTCAGTGACAGGCAAGTGTCCCAGGAGAAGGCAGAATCCAGGCAGAGAGAATGGCTGGCTCAGAGATCCTACTCAAGGCAGGAGGGACTTCGCAAGCTGTGTTCAAAGAGCCCCAAGGTCATTGGGCTGAGATAGAGCCTGGAGAATGATAGGGAGGGTGGCCAGAGGGCAGGCTAGAGGGAGGTAGCCAGATATAGGGCCTCAGGGTCTTGGGAAAAGATTTGGATTTTATTAAAATGAGTTTGACAACCATTGGAGGGCTTTAAGGGACATACCTGTTTAACTGTTTCAAAATAGATGATTCTGGCGGTTCTAAACAGAATGGATTTTAGGAAGCTACCTTAGTCTGTTCAGGCTGCAATAACAAAATATCGTAGACTGGGTGAGTTACAGCATTCTGGATGCTGGAAGTCCAAGCTCAAGGTGCAGGCTGATTAGTATCTAGTGAGGGCCAAGTTCCTGGTTCATAAATAGCGCTTTCTCCCTGTGTCCTCACATTTCAGAAGGGTGAGCCCACCTCTATTGTCTATTTTATAAGGGCACTAATTCAGACCTGAGGACCCTGCCCTTGTGATCTAATCACTGGTGATTAGGTTTCAACATAGGAATTTGAGGGGAAGGAGACACAAACATTCAGACCATAGCAGGAGGCAAGAGTGGTGTTAAGGACAACAGGTAGAAAGAAGGTTACTGTGGATGTTCAGGTGAGATAGAGTGTTGAGAAATGGATGACATTTCAGGATGACTGATTTAACATACGAGGTGGTAATAAGCAAATCTAACTGGGCACAAGACTACAAAAAATAATGAAAAATGGACACATGTAATTTTAGATAGCTATGTGATACTAGAATAATTTTTTCAGTACTTTACTAATATAGTCATTAAGTAGATTTTGAAATGTGGCTGAAATGGGATGGGATGTTGGCTCAGCTGTAAATACTCAAAATTCAGATTTCTTACACAATGTGATGCAGTTTCCTGAATATTTTTGTTTTGTTTATATTTCAGCTTAAACTCTCTAAACCTCACTTTTCCCATCTGTAAAATAAGGATCATATCCATGCATTGCCAGGTGGTCTTAAGAAGTAAATGACACAGAGCTTGGTATATAAGAGAACTTTGGCAAAACAATTGCTGTTGGTAATACCATGCCTGGGGAAATACCTCAATAGAAACTTTGTTTTTTAGTAGTGTGGTCGTTGGCTCTAAACAAAATTATTTCATTTTTCAACCTTATATATTAAGAAAAATATGACTATTCTGATGCCCATTCTTAGTGCTATTTCATGGCCTTTCCAGTTTTTTTGTCACCCATTTCTCTGATTCATAAGAAAGTGATGTCTTTTTCTTCCTTTTGCTGTTGAGGAAGCTAATTTCTAAGGAAATTAATTGAGATGGTCAAAGGCACCAGGTGAGCCTTTGTTAAAGGTAAAACTAGCATCTATGTAAAGATACAGCTCAGTGATGTATTGTCTGTCCGTTCATGTTTTACAGCTGGAATCACTAATCAGAGACCTGAATCATTACTCTTCCATAACTGCTCCAGAGATTTGAGTCTCCCAATTCTGTGTTAGTTACATGTGCTCTCCCTTGTGTATTGCCTCTTAGTTTTGAATTGTTGCTTAGTTCCACTGCACCATTGTCAAGTCCTATTTATCTCTAAAAGCTAATAGCTTCCAGAAAGAGCTAGGAGGCCAGGTCTGGGCACTGAAAGAGCTGTGTATGTCTTCCTACTGTGGATTAGTTGAAAGAGACAACTCATGGGAAAACAAACTTTTTCCAGTATTTTAGTTTTACTTTCCACTATAGTAATTTTTTTTAACCCCTTTTCATTTATTTATTTATTTAGGGACAGGTCTGACTCTGTCACCCAGACTGGAGTGCAGTGGCACAGTCATAACTCACTGTAGCCTCTAACTCCCAGGCTCCGGCGATCCTCCCACTGCAGCCTCCAGAGTAGCTGGAACTACAGGCGCATGCCACCATGTCCAGCTAATGTTTTTTTGTTTGTTTGTTTTGTTTTGTTTTGTTTTGTTTTTTAGTAGAGACAGGGTTGCGCTATGTTGTCCAGGCTGATCTTGAACTCCTGGGCTCAAGTGATCCACCTGCCTCAGCCTCCCAAAGTGCTGGGATTACAGGCGTGAGTCACCATGCCTGACCTTTCTTCAGAATTTTAGATCATTGTACCAAATGCCAAAAACACTCTAGTGCTGGTAGTATTTAGTCAAGTTCTGAGCAATGTTTTTAAAAATTAGGAATATAAAAAAGCTTAATAAAATACTAGCATGTACTTGACATAACATGCTATTCTAGTAAGTCTTAATAATGATCTATAAAATGTTAACACTTTTATTCATATTTCCTTATAATCAAATTGAACAGATACATTTTCCTTTTCTCTCAGAAAAAGTAATAATGAGCCTAGTGCTCTAACACTTGGGAGAAAAATAGATAAACGCGACCAAACACAAGACTCTGAAATGATAGTCCTTGCCAAGTGTGTGCAGATGGGAAACTGGCTTCTTTTGAATGTGGAAGGAGAGGTGTATCCCATGTGAGGGGAGCACCGTTGTGATTTTGAAAATTGTACTGTACATCTTCTTGTTGGCATCTGCTTAATTTCTAGCAATATCTCATTAACATTTCTTTTGTGAGTTTTTGTAAAGCACATCTTGAACTTTTAAACCTTTAAGTGAATAAGAATTCTAAGTGTATGAAATTCTTTGATTAAGGAAGTGAACGCCCAGAAGTGCATACAATTTCTTGAAACACTTTTATCCTCTGTTAAAGTTTGTTGTAGAAAATCCTTGTTTAACATTATACGCCAAAGACATTCTAAGCTTAATTTCAAAAATATTAAATGCCAAAGAGCAGAAAATTCTTAAAAACAACCACTTCTAACTTGTCACCTTATTGTTAACATTGACAGTTTCACATGGAAATGGTCAAATTTCAGTTTTCAAAGTCATTTGACTCTTTCACTTTAAGTCAAATAGTAAATGTGACTGAATCTTCAGTATTTTAATTAAAACAATTTTATGTATTTGTCTTTTCTCATCTTTTTATACCTCATTCTTAGATTTTTAAATAATTCTGAAATCACTTCTGTTGGTACTTACATGTAAGTCAAGTTTGAAATATGGAAATAGTTATTGGGGTGGTGTGTGTGTGAGTATGTGTACCTTTTGTGCATCATAAAATAATCAGGCAAAGTGATTTTAAGATAGTAATCTTTAGCAAAAGCAATAATTTTATTTTTCTTCCTCTAAAGAGTTCAGCAGATCTAGACTTGAAAGTGTGCTGACTTAGGTGTTTCTTGTATAGTTCAAGTGAAATTGCAAATAATTTCTGTTCACTTTAGCAGGATGGCTAAGGAGGGCATTTTCTTTTAAAGAAAGATGACCATTATGTCTTACAATGTAGAATTTACTTTGGTATTTCTTTTTTGGTGTTCTTGGCAAAGACATTTATAGGCTGGTATTCTTCTCTAGTATCGTCCCTCTTTATATTATTTAATTGTGCTTTGTATTTTACTTGAAATTAGAGGCATATAGATTGCCAAGACAGCTTTATGCTGAATAAATTCATGTCTCTGGAGGAGGCATACGCAGCTTGACTAAGAGAAAATAAGCAAAGATGGCTTCTATCGTAAATAATTCTGACCCAGTTTCTTAAATCTAGGTAAAGAGACCAACACCCAAATTCTACTCATAAAACCTAAGTAACATACATGGGCTGTGCAGATGTGGATAAAATGCTAGTATAATTGTATGGTTTTTTAAAATTAATTTTTAATCACACAAGTGACATATCTTTGTTTCTCTTTTTAAAACAGAAAATACACATGAAACAAATTTTCCTCTGGCTAGTACACCTCAGTAGGTATGCCCATCCTGCATAAGACTGGAGCTACACTGTATGATTATAATGATTGAATGGCCAAGATCCTAAGAGGAACACCTGCCCACTGTTTCTAAATTTTCCTTGTTTGGGAAAATCTGAACTCCTCACAAGGTTAAGGAAGAGGAGACCCACAGGGTTACTCACATGATTCTGGCCTGTGGTACTACAAGAGAGAGGTAGAGAGGGAAAGAATGTTCTTGTTCAAAAATACACCAGACTTTAATGAGGTTAAGTTGAACAAACTTACATGGAATTTTTATATTAGGAGACGTTATCTAACTCAATATACATGTGTATGTATATAGATAGATACAAACCTACATGTATATATCAAATAATTTTGTTAGAACCTAATAATAATAAAACTATTTCTAATTTTTGCTTATATTTTTATTCATCTACTTAATCTATACATTTGATACCTACCATTTGTACCTACTATATGGTAGGAATTTTTCAGACATCATTTCTAATGTTGTTACCCCTATTTTACTTCTTAGGAAGTTGAGATTCAGAGAAGTAAATGTGCATCCCAAGCTGCAGTGGTAGTCAAGGAATGGGATGAGATTGAATGCTGTTTTTCCATAGGTTCGTTCTTGGCATCATGTTGCCTCAGAGAATCAGTTTCTGGGATGTACAACTAAAATTGTTTAATGTCTTTGACTCATTAAATGGCATAAAAGTTTTAAATTCTCATTCTAATATCATTCTGATTTTCTGAAGATCTTCCTTTGATGACAGCAAAAATACTCACTAAATGTTTAACCACAGATACTGAGTGGGTTCTGGCCAATCAGCGTGGGCTCCACTTGTATGTCCGACAGTTGAACGTCAACTCAAGTTTAAGGCCTCATGAAGCCTAATTAATAGCAATATAAACCAGTTTAAGCACTTTTGGCCAGTTAATATATTTTTTAAAAAGCACCACACAACGTTATTCTCAAAATCTTTGTCTTAATCTGGTATTAGCCATAGTTACAACATTCTGGTTTCAAGTTCTCAAGTAGTTTTTGGGGTTTGTTTTTATTGAGTCATTGAAAAATTACAGTAAATGAACCTACAGAATTTCTTGACTGAGAATCTGCCCTGTTTTTCCCTTTTTCTAGGTCTATTATTAGCAGAAGATTTTTCTGCATAGTTGGCACGCTGTACCTGTATCGGTGTATTACAATGTATGTAACTACACTCCCAGTACCTGGTATGCATTTCAACTGTTCTCCGAAGGTAAACTATTCCTCGCTGTAATTTCGCTTTCTGTTTGTTTCTTGTCTTGCCCTGGGGTCCTTTGAGTGAGGTTGCAGGAAAACGTTTCTTCAGAATACAGTGGAGTCACTCCTCTATCTGAGAATGTTACTAAATGATATGGCCAGGCAGCCCCACCCTTCCCAGAATCTCTAAGCCCTGCCAGTGCCTCCCAACTGGGGAAATGTGTGTTGGAAGCAGTTAAGCTTTGTGTAGTTCTTTGGTTTCCTGCCAAATTGTTAAAATATCATTCATTTCTTTGACACGCATCCAGAAGCTTTTATATGCTTCCTCTCCCTCGGAGGGAGAGCTCGATTTCAAGTGACATTTTTTCCATTTTCCTTCTTTCTATTAATCCCTACAGCAGAGCCAGGAAGAGAAAGTATTCCTATTTCCTTGCAGTCCTCAACCAAGCCAAATAAGATCACTGTTCTCTGGGGTAATATATTGCCTTATTGATTTTCTCTAGTAACAAAGAAGTCTTTTTAAAAATAAACTTTATTCCTCTCTTATTGTCTCTACCTTTCCATCAGATTCAAATGACACTCTTCACCTCCTAACCTTTACCTTGGAAGAATTTTTAACTAGGGTGATCGTTGGAACTCTGTGAAATAATTAGCAGATTTTATTGTTAAAATATTTATGTACATTAAAGCTCTTTAATGAATTTTTAAAAGAGGCTAATTTCTCTCCTTGATTTTTGGTGGGAGAAAATATAGTATACTCTGATGTATTTGAGATCATTTCTTTGCATTATACCTGTGTGGGTGAAACAGCCAAACACTTTCAGTCTCATTGCTTTGTACTTTTGTTCCTCCAGAAGAGATGTTCTCTTTGATAGAATCTTTGGAAAGAGAGCTGAAAAATTCACTCTGGATTTTTAATTTGATCATATGAAATTTTGGATCTCTTTAATTTGTATGTCTCCTGTGGCTCTTTTCTTTGCTAAACTTACATATGTGCCTACAGAGATAGCTCATTTCTTACTTAACTTTTTGCTTTTTTTAATTTTTTAATTTTTTTAATTTTTTTTATTTTTTGCTACACACTACTTCCTTACCTCTGGAAGAGCTGTCATACAAAAGCAATGTTCTCAACATTCCACTCTTCTCTATCAGCCATCCTGCCTCCCTGCACTCTCCTTCTTGCAGTTTCTTTCGCCCTTCCAAAGAAGCCAGCTTCACATCGTTTTTATTGTCTGTAAAAGCTCTCAAGCACTCACCTGTAGCTCCTGGGTTATAGGGAATATCTTGTTGTCATTGAAAATCCAAGGATATGGACTCTTGCTGGGAGCCTGGCTTGATAAGCAGCATGTTCTCAGCAGTAAACTGACAGTTTAGGATATTCACCTAAGTTTAATTCAGCTCCTTAAAAAAGTCTGTGCATTGGGAAATTTTGCTACCAAGGGGTAGGTAGATGTAGGTTCTGGCCAAGCACATGTTGAAGATGGATCCAGTATTGAGGGGCCGTACCATGTAGCCTTTCTCCCTACTCTGGTTCTAAACTTGTTTCTTCTTGAGGACTACTGTAGCTCCGCCAGTTGCTGGCAAGCCCATACTTGGTGAGCCATTGGTTCTTACATAGTCAGCTTGAGTCATCAACATATCTAACCAAAATTCTTTGCCTAAGAATAGCTTGTGGGTTTTCTTCGTAAACACAGAAGTAGCAGCAGGAACTGTTCACAAAAGCCAAACTCAAACGTGTTGCTCATTTATTGTGTTGCCAGAAATCCCAACTAGGGCCCTCATTCTATGAGGATCTTCTGGAAACTAGAATCTTAAACAGTAGGAGGTGAAATATTAGCACACCTTAGAAAAAAATACTAGTTAAAACTCATTAAATCTAATTACTACAAAATCTAATTTTGTAGAATAAGACTCTTGGAAGAAAGGATTTAGAATACACTTTTTTATTCTGAAAACTTTCACATGTATCCCAACTGCTATAAGGAACTCCCATAAACCCAACACTCAGATTCAATAATTATCAAGATTTGCAACATTTGTTTCCTTTCTTTTTTCTTTTTGAAGTATTTAAAACAACTCCCAGGTAACGTCATTTCACCTCCACATACTTTAGTACGCATCTAAAAACTGTGAACATTTTAGTACAAAACCATAATGCTATTGGTGTTCAACAAAATTAATAGTAATTCTGTGATATCAGCAATTACAAGTTGATGCGATATCCTGATTGTCTTAAAATGCTTTTCCTTTTTTTACAGTTGGTTTGTATAAATTAGGGTCCAAAATCTTTATATTACATTTACTTGTTCTGTCTTTTAAGTCTATAATTCTAAAGCAGTCCTTTCTTCCTTTCACCCCTCTACCAGTAGCCTGTAGACATTAGATTAATAGTCCTACAGAATATCCCACTTTCTGGATTTATCCATTTGTTTCTTTGTGGTGTCAAGTGACTTGTGTCGCTCTATGTTTCCTCTGAATAGAAAGTTGGCTCTGCAGACTTAATTAGATTCAATTTTAGCTTGTTAACAGAATATTTGCCAGGTGGAATAGAAAGACTTCTGAAGCTAGGCACAAGAGTTGGGAAAGGCTTCGAAGGCTTGGTGCTGCCTCTTGGATGGCAGATCAAGCTTAAGAAATTCAGTGGTCAGGCAAGGGCTAGAATCCTCCACTGAGAACGAGTATCTGAAGACAGAAAAGGGTGACACTGGAGAGAAGCCTCAGAGGACAGCTTTGCCTACTTTAGAATCATACCTAGGGCTAAGGGAATCAGAAGTGAGAGGAACCTTATTAAAAGTCACTCAGGCCAAAGTTCTATTTGATGTCTGAACATCATCGCCACTGAATCTTCCATCTCTCTCTGAACCATTGTACAGAGAGGGAACTTAATTGCCCCTGTAAAAATACAAACTTACCTAATAGTAAAAAGAACACTAAAGTTAAGGTTAAGACAGTCTTACACAACCACTTACTAGCATTGGGCAAGTCATTTAACTTTTCAGAGCCTCAGTTCCCTCCCTAAATGGCAAAGCAGAGCTAATGATGCTTTTTGAAATCTGTCTTAAGGAGTTATAGGTGTGGAAGGAGACAGTTTCTAGGGGCTCTGTGGGTGTAACGCACTATACAGAAGTAAGAAGAGGACTTAGTATTGTCATCATGCTTCAACCCCTAGACTCTTATTTATCCAGTGAGAACTGATTTAACAAACATACATTAGGGACCTACTGTGCTTTGGGTGCTAGAGTATGAGGCATGAGGAAGGTAGATATAGTTCCTACCTTTGTGGAAAACACCTTAAAATCTGTTAGTTTAAATTTGTAACTTATGTAATAAATGTGTAAAATGCTGTGATAAGGGCCTCAAGCTAAGCTACTGGCCCTAAGGATGGATGGAGAGGAAGAAACAGACTTGAGCAATATTTAAGAGACCAAATTGATACAACTTGATAATAGATTTCATGCAGGGAATGAGAATAGGGAAAGATTCCAAGGGCTGGATTTTACACTGGTATAATGACATGGTATAGAGGAAATGAGAGTTAATGAGTTGGATTAAACACAGAGTTTAAAGTATCTGTGAGATATCTAAGTGGTGATGTCCAAGATAGTTAGCAATATAGTCTAAAGCTGAGGGAAACATCAGGCTGGAAAATAAATATTTGTGAATCATCATATTCTGGATGGTGGTTAAAGCTGTGGATATGGATGAAAAGGCCCAGAAACAAGTTACAGAAAGCACAGTGCTTCCAGAATTGGATATTCTATTATTTGAGATACCAATTAAGGCCTGTCACTTGGTGGATACTCTGACAGTTACTCAATATCACTAAACTGTAAGGGAGGAGAGTTGAGCTTTAGAATATGACTTCCTGCTTAATACAGTCATGTGAACTTAAACTTGGTTTCACTATGCCATTAAAATGCTGTAATTAGTGTACTTAATGCTTCCCTTAATGCCAGTACTCAAAATGTGCAGCTCCTAAGAAAAATGTTTCAACAAGTATACAGTAGTGATTATAAAAATTGGTCTTATTGTTCATTCACTCGATGGCAGTATACTCTTCACAAAATATAATCGCTCAGAGAAATAATAATCCTATGAGATGATCAGGCTGTGAGGAAAAGTAGGCTTCCCATAAATGTTTCTGCAGCAATAATAAGCCACTGGGAAAAGGAAGTGAAAAGGGAAGTGGATGTGTTCAGTTTCTAGATTGCAAATTTCTGGCATATCCCATGGTGGTATACATGTGCATGGCTTACACTGGAGGCTGCCAAATTTTTGATACCTTGATTAGCCCATGTTACTCTCATCATAGCTCCAAAGACCGTGTGTTCCATCCTGAAAACAACCTCTTCTCATCTTTTTTTTTTTTTTTTTTTTTTTTTGAGACGGAGTCTCGCTCTGTCGCCCAGGCCGGACTGCGGACTGCAGTGGCGCAATCTCGGCTCACTGCAAGCTCCGCTTCCCGGGTTCACGCCATTCTCCTGCCTCAGCCTCCCGAGTAGCTGGGACTACAGGCGCCCGCCACCGCGCCCGGCTAATTTTTTGTATTTTTAGTAGAGACGGGGTTTCACCTTGTTAGCCAGGATGGTCTCGATCTCCTGACCTCATGATCCACCCGCCTCGGCCTCCCAAAGTGCTGGGATTACAGGCGTGAGCCACCGCGCCCGGCCCCTCTTCTCATCTTTTTACAACTGTTTATGATACTGGTTTCTTTAGAAAAGGGGCAGAATATTTGAGAATTCTTTGGTGTTGTAAGCTTCCCGTTGGTAAGGTTTTTCCTGTTTTAACAAACTCCTTAAAATAAAAAATCCCAGATAAACAGGCAGCCTAATGCTAATAGAAGAGAAGAAATAACTTGCACTGTTTTCGACTCTCATTTTCATAATCAGATGAGTTAATCTAATAGTGACTAAACAGTAAAATGAGATGCATGTTTGGGCGTGTTTTGTGGTCTCCATGGTGACCTTAGATTTGAAAACCTTTGAGAAGAGAGAGAGTACATTAAGACAGGGACACTCAGCTGGCTAGTGCATTAATCCAATGTGGAGTTTTCAGTGAAATGATTCTCTTGAACTTGAAAAACATGTTTTGTTTTGTTTTAATTTTTGCCTCTGACATAAGTGAACACAGCCCATTTTTGGACAGGGTTATGTCTGGGTGGCATCTGAGGTTGATCGCTCAGTGGATCAATATAATACAAATGCAACAGCAGAACAGCCTTCATATTCTTCTCTGCCACTGTCAGCTTTTCTGCAATGCACAGATTAGAAAGATGAAACCACCTCCTTTGACTTGCTGCTGAACTGTAATGTCAACCATCAGCCTAACGGGTCCCTATGCTGGCACAAGTTCAGTCTTATAAGGCAACAGACTCATTGCTCTTTAGGATGTTATGGCCTTCTTCAGTTCTTTCTTACTTTCCTGAGTAGCAGTTAGAGTATTCCAGGTGCCCTCTACACTGACAAAGTTTGATATTCTGATTAGCTCCTGCTAACCTTATCAGTATTTCAGGATATGGCTTGTGTTCCATTACCAAAATAACTTCCTGCCATCCTGTTGGATGGTGTGCAACTTAAATTGTCAATGCTTGATTTTGGATAATTTTCTGCTGGTCTTCCAGTTTCTGATTGTCATTAAAATTTTCCTTTTCGTTTGTTCTCAATTCTTTTTTTTCTGCTTCTTGCATATACTTTCCAGTAACGTTTCCCATCCTAAATCTGTTCTTTGCTTTTCCTTTTCTCTCATTGCTGCTGTTCTCTTCCTTTTTCAGTGATTAAAGATAGCAATGTTCTAAATAACTTCTCTCTGTCACTTAAAAAGAGATGTTTTCATTTTAAATAAACCATACATTCTTTAAAGATATATTGAAAGACTACAAAAAGAGGAAGATTTTAGAACCACTCATGACCCTATCTACTATTAACAATTCAGTATATTAGTTCCTTATGTATGCATTTTTTACATGATTCTGATGGTGCTGTCTATGCATTTATTATTCATATCTCCTTATATTTAACATTTGATGTATGAATTTTTACATTATTGTATAAACTCTAGCCTTTCTAAAGGCTTTCTTACTAAAAGGAAGAAACCACTTTCCCAGAATGTGAGACAGGCAGATTGTTGATGTGATTTCATTTGATAGTCAAGAAGCTTGTTTATTTCCTGAGCAACGTTTCTAGAGAACCTGCCCTATGTGGGCATACTGGTAAATTTTGAGGACACACAATATATAAGACAAGCGCCTTCTCCCTCTGGGCATCCAGAAGCTGTGAAAGAGACAGAAATGTAATCCCCAGATCCCCCTCTGACTCCCTGTAGTAGATTTGCAGAGCCATTTGCCATGGATGCACAGACACCGGAGGCACCTCTGCTGGGAGCATGAGCTGCCCTGTGGATGTGCCTCTGAGCCCAATCTCAAAGGAGGAATAGGAGTTTGCCAAGTGGAGATAGAGGGAGGAAGGGTTCCAGGTGGAGGAAACAACGGGTATGGAAGGGAATTGGGGAATAAGGTCAAGTTAGATGTATCTGGACATGGGATCTTATGGAGCAAGTGGCCAGAGATGACTCCAGACAGGCAGTCAATCTTGTGGGAAGATTTTAAAGGGCCTTGACACCCAACTAAGGAGTCGTGGTTCTATCTATAGGCAATAGGAAGCCAGGAAAAGTTTTAGCAGGGGCATTATTTGATCACATCTGTCTTTAGAAGCATCTCTCTCCATTGATAGAGATAGTAGGGTATTTGGGAGGGAAGGAGGGAAGTAGACTTAAGTAGTATCAAATTATATGCACCTGTTTTGTGCCAGATACGAATTCAAATGTTGTGTTTTTATTTAATTTTTATAACAGTGAGTGGGATAAAATTGCAGTTGGTTCAGAGTTATGTGACCAGCCTAATGTCTTATAGGTACTGAGTGGCAAAGGCAAGAAGACTAGCCAAGTATCTGTTCTTGGTACTCACGTGAGGGAGACGGATGATGCTTCTGCATGGATTTCTGAATTAGAGATGAGGAAGGCCTAGACCAGGGCAGAGTGGGGGACATGTTTGGGAGGCATTGGGAAGGTGAGAAAGATGATCCACATGGCAGAAGCCATCTGGTATGAAGAGGTAACCAGAGTCAGAAAGCATTCACTGGGGAATTCTAAAAAACCTCAGAGCTAACCATGTATGACTCTAAATAACTAATATATAGTTACTAATCATAAAACTAATAAGAGAAATTTTAGAAATAAAAAATTACTATTTTGCAACCACTACAGTAATAATTCAAGTATTATAATTTAGAATCATCACTGGATGCTAAGGCCCTTGTGTGAAAGGTTGGCGATCATAATATTTACATAATTTTAAAAAATAACAGATTGCTTATTAATTATAAAGGGGCAAAGGTATGTATTTAGTGGAGAAATACAGTAGACACTCGCATAGTCAAGTGAACAAACCAGTAGAAGGACAAATGACATCAGGTGCTTCTGAATGTGATGCACTGAGAGGGATACAGCATCATCTCGGGAATACTCCTGCCAACAGTGTTTAAGCTGGATTTAAACAGAAGGCAACATTCAGATAAAACCAAATCAAGCAATATTCTATAAAGAAACTGGATTGGACTCTTCAGTGTCATGGGGAAAAAAAGACTGACAAACTGTAGTAGACTAAGAAGAAATCAGGGCATGATAAGTAACCTCAATGTGTATTCTCTGATTGGAACCTAGACTGGGGAAAGAAGCTCTAAAGGACATTGTTGACACTATCGAGTAGTTTGAATATGGACTGTTTTTTAAGTATGGTAGTATTATATAATTGTTAAATTTCATAAGTGTGATTTTAGAAGAGAATGCCCTTGTTACTGTGTTTAGATGTGAGGTGTTTTAATTTATTCGACTTCTTCCCAAGGGACCCAGGAAAAAAAGTGAGAGAAAGGAGAAGAAAATGTGATACAATCTTGATAATTAATGAGCCAAAATGAAGTGTCTACAGGTGCTCACTTGCTACTTTTTCACATTTATAATTTTTCAAACTAAAAAGCCAAGGGCAATTTTTTTTTTTTTTTTTTTTGGTGGCAAATCTCACTTCCTGACCAGGTAGACTGAAGGATCCTCCAACACTTAAAGGAGATGTGATTTTGTTAAAGGGAAATCTTGCCTGACTGAAATGCTGGATTTCTTTAATGTGACAAATAAGAATATGGGTAATAGAAATCCATAGCTGACCTTTATTTAAGATTTTATCAAGCCTTTGATAAGTCTTCCGGTTAGAGACTACAACAAAATTTAAAAGTTTTTTTTGATGGAGGGAAGGAGGGGCTGGTGGGAGATTAGTGTTTTATTGCTGATAATTGCTTAGAGACACCCCCTATCCCTAAAACAAGTCTGCCTAGTATAGGAATTGATGAGTACATTTGAGAATGGAGAAATGTAGACAGCCAGATTCTTCACAGCCGAGTGAAGGGAAAAGTCTATTTTAAAAGTTGTATGTATGAATTCTAAGAGGAGTAAAATCTCTTGTCCTTTAGATCAGTTGTGGTGGGCATAATATTTGTGAGTAAAAACCACATCTTTCCAGGAGTGGAGTGATTACTATATGTATAGAGAACACATAAAAGTCTCTTGAGTGATCAAGAGATGGCCACCAGTGAGCGTCCGGCAGGGATCTATATTTAAGGAGAATCATCCAGATTTCACTTGCTGACTGTTAGGCATTGAGTTCTCCCTTAAGAACCCCCCAAAAGATGGACCTAACTTGGATTGTTAAGTAATGCTGCCTGAAATTTGTATAACACTTTATTTTAGCAATCACTTTTATAAACATTGTCTTGCTTTGGTGGGTAGAGGTTGAGGATGAGAAAATGTTCTTGCCATTTTACAGGTGAGAAAACTGAGGCTAGGATGGTAAAATGGTTTGTCTAGAGCCACCTGCATGGTAGCCCAAAACTGCAGTTTGAAGTTGGATTCATGCTCATTGTTGTTCCTATAAAAGTGAGCTTGGAGACCAGTATAGCACAATATAAAGCAAGGAAAGTTAAAATCAATTGGGAATGCTTTGTTTAAGAAGAGAGAAGGCAGAAAATGGGCAATTGGTTTGTGAAAGAATTCCACAGAAATGATTTTTATAGGCCGGGCAAGTTGGCTCACGCCTGTAATCCTAGCACTTTGGGAGGCCCAAGGCGGTGGACATTGCCTGAGCTCAGGAGTTTGAGACCAGCCTGGGCAACACAGTGAAACCCTGTCTCTACTAAAATACAAAAAATTAGCCGGGTGTGGCGGCATGCACCTATAATCCCAGCTACTTGGGAGGCTGAGGCAGGAGAATTGCTTGAACCCAGGAGGTGGAGGTTGCAGTGAGCCGAGATTGTGCCATTGCACTCCAGCCGGGGCTCTCAAGAGAGTGAGACTGTCTAAAAAAAAAAAAAAAAAAGAAAGAAATAACTTTTATAGAGACAGGGGAGCTTGATTTAAATAAAAACTAAGCTTACGAAAAATAGTTAGTGAATAGTGAATAAATGTTGTTTTAGCTATTCAATCGTGTATTAATAAATGACATATTTAAAATTGGTTAAATTTCATTAGAACAACAACAAGAACAACAAAAAGTAAACCTGGAGAAATTGTCCAGCCTTGGGTATTGTCCTTGTTATTTGGAAAGGTGTTTGCAACAATAGCAGGTGTTTTCCAGGGACCTAAAGGCAAGATTGTTTAGCTCAGAGGTAAGACATTTGGGCTCTGAACCCAACTGAGTCACTCTGTGTGACCTCATGTACTGGTCGGTAAGCCACTCTTTTAAATGGGCATAGTAACAACTACGCTCACCAACTGACAAGCTTGTGAAGATACAGTGAGATAACTGATGGGAAAACACTGCTAAAATGTTGGAATCTGTGTACAAACAAAAGATATTGTTTTATTTTGTAAAACTACCCTGTAAGTCATGTTTTTACTGACCAACAGTAAAATAAGGCCGGAGAAATTGTAAGAGGCAGCTTTGAGCCTCTTCATTGCTGCTTTGAAATCTAAAGCATTCATCACACTTTCAAACACATTACCTTCCTGGTGGGGACTACAAAGTCAGGCTAAAGGACATTTCATAACTTACAATAATTCTGCTGCTTGATTCCTTTATCAGATCTGGTCTTTGATTTGAGTGTTTAAGAGCAGCATTTTTGGCATTTCATGGATGAAATGAATTTTCTGTTCATGAGCACATGGTGTTAGCATTGAAAAATACTTGGGGAAACCTCTTTTTTCATAGCCAAAAGCTCACTAGTTCTAAGTGTCACGGTTAGGAGGGCTGTTACATGCCAGTTGAAATTGGGGAAGTGGCATAGTTTTGCTGTTTTGGGCCACTTGGGAAGTTGATGTTGAGGGACACCACAGTGTGTAAGGTGTGTTTCTCAGTTGCAGGCTGCTGAAGATGCAGATTGATGAGGATTCTACCATTCCTCCTCCTGATCCTGTTACTTGATTCGTGTATTGGATTTGGTCTTTGGTCTGAGTGTTTTAACAGCAGCCTTTTTAGCATTTTGTGGATGATAATGAATTTTCTATTCTGGAGGAAGACTGCTCTTTGGGAACAGAACAAAATAATTTACCTTAATAGGAGGGAGAGAGGGACTTTGAGAAAATGTCTGGCTGTTCATGGTAGTTGGAATAGTATAATATTACTTCTGCAAGGTACCTAGGCTGCTGAAGGAAAAGTTCCTTTGTATGTATCAAGTTCCTGGTTTATCCAAGCTTGTGAGGGCCAAGCTGTGCACAAGGCAGCATATAGTTTTGTAAATAGCACATTTAAATAGTCAGAGGACTTGGATTCTAGGCTCGGCTCCAACACTGGAGACCTACAGCAGATAGGGTCTGCCTTGCTGACTTTCCTGGGCTGCTCTAGGCTGCAGCATTAGCGATTGTCAATGCTTATTTTAAATCGCATTTCTGCTCCTTAGTACTCACTTTCAGCTCTTCAACAAAGCTATACCAAAGCTGTCAAAGCTATGAAAGCCATTAATTTGTGCAGCATTATTTGATGGGTTTTAGTTCTAGGTTACCCCCTTCCTCCTAATGGGGCTGAAGTACAGTCAGTGCCCCTGCTCTGCAAATGTAGTTAGAAAAAGCCAGTGCTCTAAGCCATCTGCAAACTGAATGATGGCAAACTGACTGTCATCAGTACATTATGTTAGCACTGAAAAAATACTGGGAAACCTGTGTCTTTCATAACCAAAGGCTCACTGGTTCTAAATGTACCTGATAGTGTGTCTCATTCAAAAGCCTTTCCCTCTTCCTTCTGCTCTTTTTTTCTGTGCTTTGGTATTGTGTAAGTGATTTGGCCAATTTACCTAATTTCTTGGTAGTTCATTAGAATTTGAAGAATATTGCCTGTTTTTACTGGTTATTGGTTTTCTGTGACCCTGGGAAACCATAATGCACATAGTGGTGTAGATATGAGACTTTCTTGTCACAGCTTTGTAGTATCCACTGAAAGTTTTTATGTCTCCCTTAAATTATCTCTGCTTTCAAAAATAGACATTCAAAAGCTACTGATAGGCAAGGTTTCAATTCCAGTTATAATGGAGTAAGCACACTCCATCTTTCTTTCACACTGAATGCAGCCAAAAAACACTGGGCAGAATATATGGATCAGCTATTTGAGGAATCAAAAGCAAATGATAGTGGGCAGATGGAGGAAGGAAACCAAAATGCAAGGTATGAAAGACCCAGTCCAGAGTTTCCTGTTTCATTTTGTTCTTTTCTTTTCTTTTTTCCATTCACATTTCCTGCCTGATTTCAAAGGCAGTGCACATCCCAGAATTGCACTCTGGGTGCAGACAGAGCTCCAAGGGAATCCCTCTCTTTCTGGCCAAAGGAAAGGAAGGGAAGCCACACCAGGACAGAGAGTGGAAGAAAGCCTACCAATTTCCAAGCTAACCCTGTTAACATTTAATATGTTACATTCTAGACTTTTTCTGCACATAGTGTTTGTAAAACAGTTATAATTATACCAAACATTGTGTTTCCTGTTTTTTTCTCTTAATAGAGGAATATGCTTACAATCTAGACTTACTATACAGTCACTGTAAACTTATTTTTAAATAATTTGGTAAACAGCTGTAGGCTGGTTCAGGGCTTCTCAAATCTTAATGTGCATTTAAATTACCTTAGATTCTGGTTCACTGGTCTACCTTGGGACCTGAGAATGCATTTACAGCAGGCACCCCATCTTGCCAATACTGTCCCTAGAAAGACCAGGTTTTGAATAGTTATTTAACAGTTCCCATTTAGGTTGTTTCCAGTTTTTTGCTTTCTTTTTTAGAGACAGGGTCTCACTTTGTTGCCCAGGCTGAAGTGCAGCGGTATGATTGTAGCTCACTGTAGCCTTGAACTCCTAGGCTCAAAGGATCCTCCCACCTTAGCCTTCCAAGTAGCTGGGACTACAGGCACATGCCACCACATCCAGCTTACTTTTACATTTTTTGTACAGACAGTCTCGCCATGTTGCCCAGGCTGGTCCCAAACTCCTGGCTTCAAGCGACCCTCCCAAAGTGCTGAGATTACAGAAATGAGCCATCACGCCCAGCCTGTTGCTTTTGTGATTAGTGTTACAGTGGGATATTTTTGCACATAGAACTTTTCTTCATATTTGGTATTATTTCTTTGAGGTAGACTCCTAGAAGCAATGTGACTGGGTCAGAAGTTATGACTGTTTAAATTGCTGGTAAACTATTGGTGATTATTTTCTCAGAAGATTTTGCCAGTGATAATAAATATATTCTTCCCAAATTGTAGATGAGGAAATCGAGGCTTAGAATGGTTCAGCTGTATAAGGTCACACAGCAAATCATTCGAAGAGCTGTGATTTTACCCGCAGATATCTGTTTCGTGGCCTGCTCTTCCCCTGCACTACTTTGGAGACAGCCACTGCTTCCCCCCATCCCCTCCATTTAAACAAGCCTCGCCGTCCTTGTGCTTGCCTCACCATTAGCTCACTCTTTTTTCTTTTAAGCTTTGCTAATTCAACATGGGAAAATGAGCTCCTGTTATGTTCATTTTTATTTATATTTGTTTGACAGAATTTATGCCTCTATGTGGTCACATCCCTTGTCCTTTGATAAGTTTTGTTTCCTAAGTTGGTCTTATTTTACTTGATTTCTCTGTGCTATGTAAACAATATAGATATTAACTTGTTTCTGCTGCAACTGTTTTGTAATTTGTCTTGTATTTTGTTTGCTTTTTTTAAACATAATTTAAATTTTTCTTTCTCTTTTTCTATTTCTCACTAAGCTTAAAGAGGTTTTCCCTTTGCAGAAGTTTGATAAACATAGGAAGATATTTTGAAAAGGAAGCTTAGGGTCTCTAAGGGTACCTGTAAGAAATACAGCATTAAATTTTTGCCTTTTTCCTCAGTGCCAGGTTTACTTCATAATTTCTCCTTTCTGCCCAAACACATTGTTTCACCACAAAGATTTTCTTGCTCAAATGAGAGGACAAAGTATGGGTGATGCTGCCTTGAGAATATGATTTATCATTTTTAAAACACAGAGGGAATTTTAGAAAAGCATTATGAAATAATGTAAAATGAAGAAATACCCAAGCTTTTTTGCCATAATTTTCTTCTACATTTTATCCATTGTTATAACAGAACTGGACCAAACTTTTAATTTGAAACTTTAAAAAAAATTATAATGTTTATGCAGGCATGCAATTTGAAAACTAAAATGGTTCTACACAACTCGATGTGAAAAAACAGTAGTCTCCTGGTCCTGACCCCAACAGCGCCTTTTCCTATTCTCCTTCAACTCTTTTAGCTGAACCTTGTGGTATTTAACTCTTTGTCATTCACTCTTTTTTTTAGATTTTTTAATGTGTTTACTTTTGTGTCTCCACGTGACATGAGATATTGTTACTCTGTAATTTTTGAATATAGGCATTCACCGTTACTGACTTCTGCTGTAGAAGGCAAAGCTTTAGTGTCCGTCTGTGACTCCTCCTTCATGATCCCTACCCTCCGACCCCATCTCCACTACACACGTTCAAGTTTCCTATCCTGTCTTTGCTGTGCAGTTCTTTGTCCTTCGTTTAGCTCAATATGCAGTGCTTACATTATTACAGTTCTGTAAATGCTATTCATGGCCAAGTCATGTCGTTTCCTAGAATTACTTTCCTTCTCTGCACAACATTTTGTTTCCTGTAGAGTTAGTAATTGCCTTGGTTTTTTGCTTTAGTAGTTTTCTTTGCACTTACTCACCCCCAAGTTATGAAACTCCTCTCAATACAGCCAGAGGCATTGGGTATTCTGTTGGGCTCATCTCCATGATGACATCCCTCCAGAGCATTCTGGCTGTTTGCTTTCCAGCCCAAACTTGTGAGCTACTGTGAAGTCCTTCATCTCTCCTTTTTTGGCATCGTAGTGAGTCCCATTTCTTCTTTTCTCCATGTTTACTCCCTTGTTTTGGAGACTGTACCCTCTGTGATTCCTGGAAAAGAGTATATAAGCGGTAAATATTTTTAAATCGTGTATATATGAAAAAGGCTTTAATTTATCCTTAGTTTATCCTTCAGTTTATGCTTAGTAGTAATATGGCTGGGTACAGAATTCTAAGTGGGAAATCATTTTCCCACAAAATCTAAAGGCATTTTCTCAAAGCTTTCTGTTTTTCAGTGTGGCTTTTGAAAAGTCTTATTCTAATGATCCTTCATGTAAAGCTTGTTTTTAATCTCTGGAGGCTTTAGAGTCTCTTCTTAGTCCCCAGATTCTAAAATCCCATGATGCTGAGTCTTGATATGTAGATCTGTTTTCTTCCATTATGTTGAGCATTCAGTGATCTCTTTGGATTTGGAAATTTATATCCTCTGTGTGGTGTGCTCCATCTGCCATTCTTTTTTTTTTTTTTTTTTAATTTCTCACACTTCACTGATGTATCATCCTTCCATCCTTAATCAGAAGTCTTGATAATTTTTTAAAAGGAAATTATAATAAAACATGTTGCCCAAAGCTAGATTCTTATAAGTTAAATATTGAAATCATGGTAATTAAATTGGACAACCAGAATTTAATTAAATTGGATCATGGTAATTAAATTAGACAACCAGAATTTAAAAGAGTACTAACAAGCATAAAATATAGACAGTTACACATTTTACTTGACCGAGCAAATAAAGGTTGTAATGAATGAGTTGTTCAAGCTATTTATTACTCCGGTGTCCAGCCCAGACTTGTATCATAGACAGGTAAATTAATTTATAATCTGGAAAATTATTCAATGTTACCTACATAATTTGAGAAGATTAAAGGCACATCCCTTGTTTCAACATGATCCCTGAACATCCACATACCAAAAATATTCATATATTTGACTACCCAAACCTTCAGCTGCTTTAGCCAAGTGTAGTAGGACAGTTGTCTTCTAGGCCAACCATGATAAAAATACATCTTTAAATTTTTCCTAGACTACAGATTTAAATTTTATTTTTCCCAAATGATAGTTATACTAAAGCAATTATTCAGTCAGTCAGATAGAAGTACTGTTTCTCTGTCATTGTAATTTTTGAAAAACTGGGGAAACATCTACTGACACGTGCTTTAAAAAGTGCTAACTGTGAAAAGTCCTGAAGCCACGTGATTCATTTGTAGGACCATCCCACCCCCCCGCCCCAAGGGCTACTCTTGGAATGGTAAACACTGAGTGGGCAAACTTCCTGGTGGGGATTTTATGTTTCTTAATATAAGCTTAATTCTGGATATGAATAGTAATCTTCGCACATTTTCATGTGGGCTCGTAATGAATCTTCTTTTTCTTCTTTTCTTTTTTTCTGCCAGCTTTTCGGAGACTGGGAAGCCCAACTGCGAAGAATAATGAAGCTCATTGCTGGAGGTGGCTTGTCTATCACTGGCTCTCACAACATGTGTGGGGACTATCTGTACAGCGGCCACACGGTCATGCTAACACTTACCTACTTATTTATCAAAGAGTGTAAGTCTAAAAGACTTCCATTGTAATTTCCTCACCTGCCATTTCTCATGAACTCTGGTCCTCTGGTAAAGCTCATTTTCTGGAAAATCTGCTGAAGCAAGACTGGAGGCTTCAGGAGGCTTGCAGCTTCATCTCATCGCCATGCAACTGGCACCCAGGGAAATATGTGGAAGGACAGAACTGGTCTTCCTGAGGACGAGGTGTCCTGGAGTGTCATCTGTAGTACTGGGGTGGAGGCAGTTCCAAGCACAGCCTGCAGGGTGTGTTATGAGCCAGTTATACAGCTGCTGTAAGGAGCCAGATGGAAATCTCAAAGGGACACAGAAATCCAGTATCAAGCCTGATTGGGTGATGGTAGATTATGTGTTGATGCAGCAACTATTTTTTCAGCACTTGGCACTATGCTACATGCCTGAGGGTACAGTGATGGGTCAGACTCATCCCTGTCCTCAACAAGGCCATGGGCTCAGGGCTGAGGCAGATACTAAATGGGAAATTTCCCTTAAGAAACGTACTTAAAATATTTTATTGTGAAATCACAAAATAATATTATAAATACCGCATACATGGCTCAGATTTAATATATATTAGCATTTTGTCATATTTAATTCAGATAACCCTTTTAGAAAGGAAATGAAATGTTAATATATGATTAAAACCTTTTCATTCCTTTCCTATATCATTTCCATCCATTTTTTTGGACTTGTGTATTATTGTTTTGTGGTTTTTTAAATTTATATACATAAATGGCATACTGCCATTTATATTCTTCTGCCACTATTTACCCTCAAATTATGTTTTTGAGATATGAGATTTTGGTCCATTCACTTTAATTGCTATTAATATTACAGTGCTAGAAATGAACTACACATATTTATTCATTTCTCTACTTATGGAAAATTTTATTATGCTCAATATCACATTGTTAGAAACAGTCTGATAAGCATTATACAGGGGGGTTTCCATGAAGAGCAATGAGTAGAACCAGGCTGCTGTGGTATCACAGAGGAGGGAGATGCTTTGCCTTCTGGAGGTGTCTTGGGAGCATGTGGTACTCTCTGGAAGTTTAAGTGGGTGGAATTCAGAGTAGGGGTAATAATAAGAATGGACAGGTAAGTGGGAACCAGATCACAGGGGGTGCTTAAGCCACAAGAAGAGGGTCTGAACTCTCAGCTGATGTAGATCGGGTGCCCATTGAGGGGTTGTAACCAGTGGGGCAGTGTCATTTGTCTTTGAAGAGAGAAAAATCACTCTTGCAGCAGCTTGCAGGATGGACTGGATGGGGGACCAAACTGGAGACCGGGAGAAAAGTTAGGAGATTGCTGCAGTAACAAAGGAAACTAGCCTGATGGCATCAGGGATGGAGAGAAGTGACAGACACTTTAAGACATTAATAAAGAGAGTCAGCAGATAACAGGATGGATTATGGGGTAGAGAAAACAGGTAGTGGACTGGGTCGAAACCTAGTTTTGTTCTTGAAAAACTAAGATAAGGAAATACAGGAAGGGAAGAGAGATGCACTTCAGGGCACTGAGATAGAAAAGGGAGAATAGATGTTCCAGTGCTTATACTTAGTACGTGAGCAGATATAGTGAGTTCTAGCAAGATCTGTTCAGAATTGTCAGGGCATAATCTAGCCTTTGGACTGGAATGTAACTGGATGTGGACAGTAGGAATCACATAGGCCAGATGTCAGCACCCCTGGGGGAGGGATTCCTGGCTCCTGCTGCCTGATACCTGAAATTCTTTAACGGGGTCAAGGCTTATCCATCTTGACAATAAGGCAATGTGTCATATTGAGAGGCAGAGGCGTTGGTACTATCACTTACTAGCTCTATGACCCTGGGAAGAAACTTTAACCTAAGTCTTAGTTTCCTCATGTTTAGAATGAGATATTCACATCTGCTTCATCGGGTGGGAAAAAGTTTATGAACATTAAAATTAGATGGCATATATGGATACTAATAGAGTCACACAGAGACTGAATGGTAGCTGTTTCTTGTTTTTGTATTGTCAAGGTATCAAATACAAATATTACTAGAATATTCCTACCCTAACTGCTCCATTTAAAATTGCAAACTGCCCTTCACTCCCTATACTTCTGATCCCCCTTATCCAGCTCAACTTTATTATTTTTCCACAGCCTTTAACACCTAACATAATGTGTAAATTATTTATTATAAGTATTGTCTCTTATCTCTCTTCCCCACTAGGAAGGGATCTTCCCACAAAGGCAGCCTCCTTGCCTTTTTTATTCATTGATCCAGGTATCTAGAGCATTGCCTGTCCCTGGCATGTAAGAGGCTCAATGAATATTGGTTGAATGAATGACTGGTTCTTGGACCCATTGAGAATCCAATAAAAGTCTGAACCTGTCATGCTGGTGTAGAGAGTATAGATCATATTCAAACAACATTTTGCCTAACACTGCAGAGCCTCTGAATCCCACAATTGAGAATCCAAGGTAGAAAGGCCTGCACTAATAGAAATTTTGATGTTTTTCTCAGGTAATTTCCCAAATGGGGATACAGACAAGTATTTATCTGACACCATTCGACCTTTGAGAAGGCACTTGAACTAGAATTCCCAGGCGTCTGGATGCTTTTCTGCTTGTATTTGAGAAATGAAAATCTCAAAGACTTTCAGATTAGTGTATGGTTGCAGAACTTGGAAAGCAGTACAGTTAAATCAGTTATGACTGCTTAGTCCTTGTATTAGGCTCTGTGGGCCAAAAGGTATTGATTTTTGTGTAGAGCATCAACCCCAAATTAGCTAGAGGTAAATTTAAATGTCAATGGACAGTTTTTAAAAACGAAACATGATGCATTAACCTGTCCTTATTTGATTAGCCTCATCTTTTAAACTCTATTTATGATTGTATGAATCAAGTAAGAACCAAATATGAATTACTATCACTAGTATAATCACATCATAAAAAGCTGTTTCTGTTCTAACCTTGGTTACAGATAAATGACAGCCCTTAGATTCACTAGATCTGTTTTCAGAAGGGAAGACTCAAGGTAATTGGATTCAGAAGCATTAGTAGAGGCATAGTTGGGTGCCCTTAATGTCATTTGAATAATGGGACTATTGCAAATCTCTCCCCCTTTCAGATTCCCCTCGGCGACTCTGGTGGTATCACTGGATTTGCTGGCTTCTCAGCGTAGTTGGAATCTTCTGTATTCTCTTAGCGCATGACCACTACACTGTGGACGTGGTGGTGGCATATTACATCACCACGAGACTCTTCTGGTGGTATCACACTATGGCCAATCAGCAAGTGAGTTTCCCCGCTTTTGATTTTAGCTTCTGTTGTTTCTGGCTTGATGTTGCTGGCTTGGACAGGGTGCAAAGAACCTGTGGATGTCTGAAGTTTCTCTTTCTTAAGTAGTAATCAACTAAGATTGTATTGTTTTTTTGTGACATTGATTCTCTTCAGAATTAAGAATAAAAAGTTTATTAATATAATGATGTGAGGAATTACTTCCTTCTAGAATAAGGAACGCACTTTCATTGTCCTTGAAAAATGAAAAATATTTTCTAAGCTTGTGTCCCTCCTTGCTTGATTTGCTTTCCTATCCTCTTCTCCCTACCCGGGGCACATCACAAGCTTAATATTTAACATTTAATTAAGTGTTAACATTTTTAGCATAGAAGAGGAATACCTAAAAAGCTAACTGAGGTGTTTATTTATAAGCAAGAGATGAGTGAGCCATAAGTTCTCCTTGCCCTCCCAGAATTGGCGTTGTTTTTCTACTGGGATGTGGCTCAGTTTGTAGATGAATGTGGAGTGTAGAATGGTGATGAGAGAGAGAAGCTGGGATATGTGGGTGGACACGCAGGGCAGGTATGGAGTCCTTTGGGAATTTTAGCGTGGCAAGTATTTGAACTTAAAGTGAAAGATTGTAAGAAATGTGTTTATGTTTCTTTGTTATCCTAGGTGCTAAAGGAAGCTTCCCAGATGAACCTCCTGGCCAGGGTGTGGTGGTACAGGCCATTTCAGTACTTTGAAAAGAATGTCCAAGGAATTGTACCTCGATCTTACCATTGGCCTTTCCCCTGGCCAGTAGTCCACCTCAGTAGGCAAGTTAAATACAGCCGGCTGGTGAATGACACATAACAGCTGTACAAAGTGGGGAAAAGACAAATTGTCCGAAGTGCTAAGAACTCCATGAGAGAAGATGCCATAAAATAAACACCTCCCTAATCCTATTATCTTTCAATGGTTACCTTGACTTAACCTATTGAGTTACCTGGTCAGCACTGTGATCTTTTTTTCTCTCCAAAGGACCTGCGTTGGACAACAATAAAGAAAAATTTAACCTATCATGCACTGTACACATTTCCTGTTCATAAGTTTGGGATTTACATAACCCGCAACCACCATGTTCCTTTGTATATGATGCAGCAGCATAAATGTAAGCTTTTATATCATAAGTTCTGGTCTTTCCAGTCACATCTGGAAATAAAGCGTATTATTTTCTTGGGAAAACATACTTTTCATATCTCTTGCCCCAAAGATTGGGCTGTAAGCCATTTTCTAGCAAATGTCTCTATGAAGGTTTCTAAGTACCTGAATGGGGTTTGATTCTGAAATCTTTCTACCTGTTGCACCGATATTCAAATAAAAATGATAGACACAGAAAGGTTTGGTAACTTTGGGTTTTGTAAAATCAGCAAAGGCAGTGTTTCAAAAAGTGCAAAAAAAAAGATTCTGTTATAAAGTGATTTTCTAAGTATTTCCTAACTTTATTTTTCAAAATGATGTTATGAACACCAAATTTAAAGATTTTTAACATGTCAGAGAGAAGAGAGTTAAAATTTAAAAATGCATCTTGGGAGAGAAATTTGTCTATGTTTCTAGTGCCTTTCTTGTCTTGATTGTATGGTCAGTAGGCAATCTTAAATGTTTTTATTTAAAATAAAGTATTCCTTGAAAATATAAATATATGTATACACTACTAAATTTTGCATTTATAGCTAAATTGAATCAGAAGACTGCTTATGGTTTTAAAATTGCAATGACTTAAATAATGAGGTTGTTAATTAGAGTCAGAGCCTGTTCACATATTGTGATCAGGTAGCAATGACATGTACCACTTAAATTATTTTATCGTCGATTTGGTAGTTCAATTTTAACTACTCAATGAAAACAGCCATGAATATCTTTTCTTAAAGAGAGTTTTGAAAATGATCACTTACCTAAAACTTGAAAGCTATGAATTAGTTATCCATACTCTCATGACAATTTTGTTGGTGAACAACAAAAAAGAGATCTATTTCTTTAAAAGATATTTGTGCAGAAACTGCATGTAACTCTAAGTTTTACTCCTAACATACATATGTTTGGGGAAGTATTCTATTCTATACTTGCCAATGTGGAGAACAAAATAGTTTTTTAAGAATGAAGAAGTATATATATCCATTCTGTATTTTACGTGCAGCAGAATTATCTTCCGTAGGATTTTTTTGTGTATTCACAAGGTGATATTTGTATTGTAAAACAATAATGGTGAAGGAAATAAAAAGGCTTTTAAAATTTTGTTTGTTTTAAATCTTTGTAAAGTTATTATTCCAGAGAGTATACTGGTATCTTACAGCTTACCTAGATCATAAATTAATCAAAATGCACTTTTTAATAAAAACTGATACTTAAAATAAATGGCTGTTATTTCTACTGTGTTCACATTCTTCACAGAAGTCATAAATGGAGCCATTAAAGCAAGATAGAAAATCAGTTTCAGAATTTCTTCATGGAGTGTTTCTGCTTGACATGGGACTTTTAATAATTATCTGGATTTTTTTCCTTGGGATTCCTTAAAATATATTCTAATCTTTAGTAAATTCTAGAGAGTTTTTTAATATATAAAAAGAGTCACATGTAAGTTAAATTCAAACTTTAGAACAATGTTTACTAACATTTTGAATTCTCTAATTCTCAACCAAATTGTTTTTTTTCCTATATCTGGCAGTAATATAGCTTCTCCAGTGTAGATGGAAAGGAAAAGTAAATCCAAAGTGAGAAATAGAGTAATAGTACTATGATAAACCAGTGGTAATGGAAAATAACTATTTAAAAAGAATAAAAGGTTATTATTATTTCTGATGTGGTGACTAAAGGAAAATGTCAACAGTGGAGATGTGTCTTTGATAAAGGATGTGTTAAGGAGGCTAGAAATGTAAAACCAGAGGCCAGGTGTGGTGGCTCACGCCTGTAATTCCGGCACTTTGGGAAGCCGAGGTGGGCTGATCACTTGAACCCAGGAGATTAAGACCAGCCTGATCAATATGAAACCCAGTTTCTACAAAAAATACAAAAATTAACCTGGCACGGTGATACATGCCTGTGGTCCCAGCCTCTCAGGAGACAGGTGGGAGGAGCGCTTGAGGCCGGGAGACAGAGGCTGCAGTGAGCCATGACCGTGCCACTGCACTCCAGCCCCAGCAAAAGAGTGAAACTCTATCTCCGAAAAAAAAAAAAAAGGAAATTAGAACCAGTAAAACTTTTCCTGTGTGGGGCTTTAAACTTGTGTATCAGACAGGGGAAATGTGGTGGCCTCTTTAGGCAAATAGAGCCAAACCCTTGGATAGGTCTTTATTTAACTGTTATAGCCTTTCACTAACTTTGACTATCAGCTGCTGCCATATTGAAGGGAAAGTAAATTGAGTAAGTGGAAATGATATATTGGCACTTGCTAAAAATAGGATTTTTTCCCTAAAAAACTAGAAATCATTATATAAAAATTTGTTATGAGTTTACATGCCACATATGTATCAAGAAATCCACTGCTGATTGTTCTTCATGGCTGACTACACTGATTCATGAATTGACATATCTTCTGGGTCTCTAGTGTGCAAATCCCAGGAAGGACAAGGAGAAAGCTCATTGTATTCTAGAGTATCATTGTACACTTGGTAAGGATTGCCTGTATAAGGACATGTGCTTTCTCAATGTCTTTTTTTTTTTTTTTTTGGCTCACTTAAGTTAGACATTTTACATGTATTAGTTAACCCTCACACATCCACAAAGTGTAATTATTATTGCCATTTTACAGATAGACCAACCAAAGTGACTCAGATATATTAAATAACTTGCCCAAGGGCATGCAACTGGTAACTGGTAAAAGTCCTATTGGAAGCCAAGTTTCCCCCCTCCCCCATCAATACTGTGAGCTTTCATAAACTCTTCAGTAAGAGTCTGCAGTGAGAGAAACCTATGCCTATGGTGGTAAAGCATACTCTCACCATGGACTGAGGAGCAAGAAATTTACACCATAAGGTGTGAGAGGAAAATTTGACTGATTTCCTAATTGCTATATGTTTTATTTGTATCCCAAGCACATGCCAAATTTTGATCAATGTGATAAATATCTCATAATACCTCATACAATGGAAATGCATGCCAACCTTAATTTGACCACCAATATACAAAAAGTCAACCAGATTTCTGAATTTACTAGAAAACAATATGTTGCTTGGATCACTAGATATTGACATCCTTTATTTTTTTTTCTCCCTGTAGTCAAGAAACAATTTGAACAAATCAAAGCTGTTGACTTGGTATTCTGCTTATCAGCACCTTAAAATACTTATCCATCTCCTAGTTTACAGTACAAGTCAGAAGGAAATTAAATGACCTTTCACATTTAAAGTGATAGTTGATATAACTGAATGAATATCTATCATGTTTGTAACTCTTTTCTGTTTGTTGCATTTGTCCTCTCTTCATCCCTTCCTTTTTCTGTCTTCCTTTAGTTTTGAACAATTTATGATTCTATTTTATCTCTTATCATACCAGTTATTCTTTTTACGAATTTTTAAATGGTTGCCCTAGAGTTTACAATATAAACTTTTTTCCAAATACAAGCCTGCCTTCAAGTGTAGTGTAGGCATTTTATAACAACACATTCCCAATTTCTCATTTCTGCCCTTAGAACATTGATGTCATTCATTTGACTTATCCATATGGTATAATCACTCAACACATTATTACATTTATTACTTTGAACAAGCAATTACCTTACAGATCAATTAAGAACAAGTAAAGATTTTGTTCATCTTCACTTATTTATTCTCTGATGCTCTTCTTATGTAGTTCAAGCTTCTAACCAACATCATTTTCATTTTGCCTGAAGAACTTCCCATTTCTTGCAGGGCAGGTTGGCTGGCTTTTTTCTTTCAACATTTTAAATATTTCACTCCACTTTCTTCTGGCTTACCTAGTTTCTCACAAGAAGTCTGCCATAATTTTATTCTTTTCTTCTATAGGTAATATGTTTTTTCTCTGACTTCTTTCAAAAATTTCTCGTTGTCTTTGCCTTTCTACAGATTGAATATGAAATGCATAGGTGTAGATTTTTTTTGGTGAGGGTGGTATTTATTTTTGGTGTTCTCTGAGCTTCCTGGGTCTGTGGTTTGGTGTCTGTCATTAATTTCGAAAAGTTGTCAGCCATTATTACTTCTTTCTTCTCTGCTTTCCCTTTCTTTTGTTTCTGATACTCCCGTTATGATAAGTTACACATTTTGAAATTGTCCCACAGTTCTTGGATGTTTGCCTCCCACTTTTTTCAGTTTGATAGGTTTCTATTGACATATCTTAAAGCTCACTGATACTACTCTCCTTGGCCATGTTTGTTCTAATGATGACCCCATCGAAGGCATTCTTCATTTCTGTTACGATGTTGACTATTTCTAGCAGTTTCTTTTGGTTCTTAGCTCCAAATTCTTCTGCTGTATTTGTGGCCCTCCCTTTTGACTTGGGCTTCCCTAAGTAGTCCTCCTCAGAGAGGGTCTGTGTCATGTATCTCTTTTAACTGTAATCCACTGTTTTTCTTGCTGGAGCTCTATTGGTGTGGTGGTTAGATGTTGGATAGGGGGAGAGTTTAACCATATGATTGAATCTCAGTTTTTCAAGACTTTTTTTGTTGATACACAATATGGGCTACATGTGATATATTGCTACATGCATAGAATGAGTAATGATCAAGTCAGGGTATTTAGGATTATCACTTCAAGTATTTACTGTTTCTGTGTCTTGGGAACATTTCAAGTCCTCTCTTCTAGCTATTTTGAAATATACATTATTGTTAACCATAATCACCCTATAAACATTAGAATTTATTCCTTCTATCTAACTGTATGTTTGTACCCATTAACCAAACTGTCTTCACCCCACTTACCCTTCCCTGCCCCTGGTATCCATTTTTTCTCTCTATCTTCAAAAGATCAACTCCTTTTGCTCCCACTAATGAGTGAGAACATGCAGTATTTGTATTTTGGTGTCTTACTTATTTAACATAATGATCTCCAGTTCCATCCATTGCAGCAAATGACATCATTTCATTCCTTTCTGTGGCCAAATAGTATTCCAGTGTGTATATATACCACATCTTCATACATTTGTCCATTGATGAATACTGAGGCTGACTCTATATTGTTGCTGTTGTGAATAGTGCTCCAATAAACACGTAAGTGCAGGTATCTTTTTCATATACTGATTTCTTTTCTTTTGGATAAATAAATACCCGGTAGTGGGATTGGTGGATCATATGGTATTTTTTTGGTCTTTTTCAGTAATAGTCATTCTAACTGTGGTAAGATGATTAGCAATGTTGAGCTTTTTTTCATATACCTGTTGGCCATTGTATGTCTTCTCCTTTGAGAAATCTCAATTCATGCCCTTTGCCCACTTTTTAATGGGATTTTTTTTTTTCACTGTTCAACTGTCTGTGTTCCTTGTATATTCTGGATGTTAGTCTCTTGTTGGATGAATAGTTTGCAAATATTTTTCTCCCATTTAGCAGGTGGCGTCTTCACTCTGTTGATTGTTTCCTTTGCTTCCCATTTAGCAGGTGGTGTCTTCACTCTGTTGATTGTTTCCTTTGCTTTGCAGAGCCTTTTAGTTTGATATAGTCCCATTTGTCTATTTTTGGTTTTGTTGTCAAAGTTTTCAGGTCTTAGCTATAAAATCTTATGTTTAAGTCTTTAATCCATCTTGAGTTTATTTTTGTATACAGTTAAAGATACAGGTCCAGTTCCATTCTTCTACATAGGGATATCCGATTTTCCCAGGACCATTTATTGAAGAAGGTGTCCCTTCCCTAGTGTATGTTTTTCACACATTTGTAGAAAATTAACTGTCTCCAAATATGTGGATTTATTTCTAGATTCTCTATTTCATTACATTGGCCTATGTGTCTGTTATTATATCCAAATCATGTTGTTTTCGTTACTATATCCTTGTAATCTATACCGAAATCAGATAATATAATGCCTTCAGCTTTGTTCTTTTTGCTCAGAATTCCTTTGACTATTCAGGCTCTATTTTGGTTTCATATGAATTTTAGGATTGTTTTTTCTATTACTGTGAAAAATGGCATTGGTATTTTGATAGGGATTACATTGAATCTGCAAATTGCTTTGAGTTAATATCATTTTAATGGTATTAATTCTTCTGATCCATGAGCATGGGATGTCTTTTCATATTTTTGTATCCTGCTCAATTTCTTACATCAGAGATTTGTAGTTTTTCTTGTAGCAATATTTTACCTCCTTAGATAAATTTATTGCTAGGTATTTCATTTATTTTTTGTAGCTATTGTAAATGGAATTGCCTTCTTGATTTCTTTCTCAACTAGTTCATTATTGGTATGAACTAGTTGTTACTGACTTTTATATGTTGATTTTGTATCCTGTAAGTACTGAATTTGTCAGATTTAAGAGTTTGTTATCTTTAGGTTATTCTAGATATAAGATTATATCATCAGCAGAGAGGGACAAATTGACTTCCTCTTTTCCAATTTGGATGCCTTTTATTTCTTTTGCCTGATTGCTTGGACTCCCAGTACCATGTTGAATAAGAGTGAAGAAAATGGGCATCCTTGTCTTGTTCCAGTTCTTAGAGGAAAGGCTTTTCCCCATTCAGTATGATGTTAGCTGTGGATTTGTCATATATGGCCTTTATTATGTTGAGGTATGTTCATTCTATGCTTGGTGTTAGACTTTGTATGATGAAGGGATGTTGAATTGTATCAAACACTGTTTCTGCATCTATTGAGATGATCATATGGTTTTTGTTTTTCCTTTTTTCATTGTGATGTATCCTGTTTATTGATTTGCATATGTTGGACCATCTTTGCATCCATGGAATAAGTCCCACTTGATCATGGTGTATTATCTTTTTGATGTACTATTCGATTCAGTTTGCTGATATTTTGTTGAGGATTTTTGCATCAATGATCATCAGGGATACTGGCCTGTCTGTAGTTTTTCTTTTTTTGTTGCATCCTTGTCTGGTTTTAGTATCAGGGTAATGCTGGCCTCATAGAATGAGTTGGGGAGAATTCCGTCCTCTTCAATTTTTTAGAATAGTTTGAGGAGGATTGTTGTTAATTTTCCTTGGTAAATTTGGTAGAATTCCACAATGAAACTGTTCAGTTCTGGGCTTTTCTTTGTTGGGAGACTTTTTATTGCTGATTCAGTCTCATTACTTCTTTTTTGGTCTATTCAAGTTTTTCGTTGTTTAATGATTCAGTCACTATAGGTTGTATGTGCTCAGAAATGTACCATTTCTTCTGGATTTTCTAGTTTTTTAGTATATAGTGGTTCATAATAATCTCTGATGATCTTTTGTATTTCTGTGGTGTCAGTTTTAATGTCTCTTTTTCCATTTCTGATTTCATTTATTTGCGTCTTTGTCTCTTGGTTAGTTTAGCAAATGGTTTGATTTTGTTTACCTTTTCAAAAAACCAGTATTTTGTTTTATTGAATCTTTGCCTTTTTGGCGGGGGGGGGGGATTCTATTTTGCTTAGATCTGCTCTGATCTTCATAATTTATTTCATACTACTAATTTTGGGTTTGGTTTCTTCTTGCTTTAGTAGTTCCTTGAGGTGCATCATTAGATTGTTTATTTTAAATCTTTCTACTTTTTTGCTGTAGGTGTTTATTGCTATACATTTCCCTGTTAGCACTGCTTTTGCTGTATCTCATAAGCTTTGATATGTTGTGTCTCAATTCTCATTTGTTCCAAGAATTTTTAAAAATTTCCTCCTTAATTTCTTCCTTGACCCAATGGTCATTTAGGAGCACGTTGTTTATTTTCTATGTGTTTGTACAATTTCCAAAGTTTCTTTTGTTATTAATTTCTAGTCTTATTTCACTGTGATCTGAAAAGATTCTTGATATGATTTCAATGTTTAAAAATTTGTTGAGACTTGTTTTGTGTCCTACATATGGCCTATTCTGGGGAGTGTTCCATATGCAGATGAGAAGAATATGTATTCTATACCTGTTAAATGAAGTGTTCTGTAAATATCTTAGGTTCATTTGTTTTAATGTGGTTTAAATCCAAAGTTTCCTTGCTAATTTTCTATCTAAATGATGTGTCTAATGCTGAGAGTGAAGTGAAGTCCCCAACTATTATTGCATTAGATTCTATTCCTTTAGATCTAATAATACTTGCTTCATATATCTAAGTACTCTGGTCCTGGGTGCTTATCTTTAGAATGGTTATATCCTCTTGCTAAATTGTCAAAAATGGTAAATAGTTACAAAGAAAGTCATTATCTAGTGATAAAGGGATTGGCCTTTTGGTTTCTATTTGCATGGAATATCTTCTTCCATTCCTTTGCTTTTGGTCTATATGTGTCTTTACACTAAGATGAGTTTCTTGTAGGCAGCATATAGTTGTGTCTTGTTTTTTTAAATCATTCAGCCAGTCTATAGCTTTTTTTTTTTTTTTTTTTTGAGATGGAGTCTCGCTTTGTCCCCCAGGCTGGAGTGCAGTGGCATGATCTTGGCTCACTGCAAGCTCCGCCTCCCGGGTTCATGCCATTCTCCTGCCTCAGCCTCCCAAGTAGCTGGGACTACAGGTGCCCGCCACCACACCCGGCTAATTTTTTGTATTTTTAGTAGAGACGGGGTTTCACCATGTTAGCCAGGATGGTCTCGATCTCCTGACCTCGTGATCTGCCCATCTCGGCCTTCCAAAGTGCTGGGATTACAGGTGTGAGCCACCATGCCCGGCCCAGTCTATATCTTTTAACTGCAAAGTTTAATCATTTTCATTCGAGGTTGTTATTGATGTGTGAGGGCTTATTCTTGTCATTTTATTCATTAATTTTGGTAGTTTTGCATATCATTTGTTTCTTTTCTATATCATTGTGGCTTGGTGGTTTTCTGTAGTGGTAATATTTGAGCTCTTTCTCTTCCTCATTTGTGTGTTTGCCCTACCAGTGAGTCTTATCCTTCTGTGTGTTTTCATGATGGTAGCTATTGTCTTTTTGTTTTCACATGTAGGACTCACTTAAGCATTTCTTGTAGGACCACTCTAGTGGTGTGAATTCCCTCTACTATGTTTGTCTGGGGAAAACTTCATTTCTCCTTCATTTATGAAGGATAGCTGTGCTAGGTATAGTATCCTTTGTTGGCAATTTTTTTCTTTTTTTTGTGCTTCTTTGATTTTATTTCTTTTTTTTTCTTTTTTTATTATTATTATACTTTAAGTTTTAGGGTGCATGTGCACAATGTGCAGGTTAGTTACATATGTATACATGTGCCATGCTGGTGTGCTGCACCCATTAACTCTTCATTTAGCATTAGGTATATCTCCTAATGCTATCCCTCCCCCCTCCACCCACCCCACAACAGTCCCCAGAGTGTGATGTTCCCCTTCCTGTGTCCATGTGTTCTCATTGTTCAATTCCCATCTATGAGTGAGAACATGCGGTGTTTGGTTTTTTGTCCTTGCGATAGTTTACTGAGAATGATGATTTCCAATTTCATCCATGTCCCTACAAAGGACATGAACTCATCATTTTTTATGGCTGCATAGTATTCCATGGTGTATATGTGCCACATTTTCTTAATCCAGTCTATCATTGTTGGACATTTGGGTTGGTTCCAAGTCTTTGCTATTGTGAATAGTGCTGCAATAAACATACGTGTGCATGTGTCTTTATAGCAGCATGATTTATAGTCCTTTGGGTATATACCCAGTAATGGGATGGTTGGGTCAAATGGTATTTCTAGTTCTAGATCCCTGAGGAATTGCCACACTGACTTCCACAATGGTTGAACTAGTTTACAGTCCCACCAACAGTGTAAAAGTGTTCCTATTTCTCCACATCCTCTCCAGCACCTGTTGTTTCCTGACTTTTTAATGATCGCCATTCTAACTGGTGTGAGGTGGTATCTCATTGTGGTTTTGATTTGCATTTCTCTGATGGCCACTGATGATGAGCACTTTTTCATGTGTCTTTTGGCTGCATAAATGTCTTCTTTTGAGAAGTGTCTGTTCATATCCTTTGCCCACTTTTTGATGGGGTTGTTTTTTTCTTGTAAATTTGTTTAAGTTCATTGTAGATTCTGGATATTAGTCCTTTGTCAGATGAGTAGGTTGTGAAAATTTTCTCCCATTTTGTAGGTTGCCTGTTCATTCTGACGGTAGTTTCTCTTGCTGTGCAGAAGCTCTTTAGTTTAATTAGATCCCATTTGTCAATTTTGGCTTTTGTTGCCGTTACTAAGCCAAAAGAACAAAGCTGGAGGCATCACCCTACCTGACTTCAAACTATACTACAAGGCTACAGTAACCAAAACAGCATGGTACTGGTACCAAAACAGCATGGTACTGGTACCAAAACAGAGATATAGATCAATGGAACAGAACAGAGCCCTCAGAAATAACGCCACATATCTAAAACTATCTGATCTTTGACAAACCTGAGAAAAACAAGCAATGGGGAAAGGATTCCCTATTTAATAAATGGTGCTGGGAAAACTGGCTAGCCATATGTAGAAAGCTGAAACTGGATCCCTTCCTTACACCTTATACAAAAATTAATTCAAGATGGATTAAAGACTTAAACGTTAGACCTAAAACTATAAAAACCCTAGAAGAAAACCTAGGCATTACCATTCAGGACATAGGCATGGGCAAGGACTTCAGGTCTAAAACACCAAAAGCAATGGCAATTTTTTTCTTTCAGCACTTGGACTATTTTCAATCTCTCCTGGACTGTGAGGTTTCTGCTGAGAAATCCCTGTTAATTTGATGGGGATTCCCTTATAAGTGACTAAATGCTTTTCCTCTTGCTGTTTTTAGAATTCTCTCTTTGACTTTTGACAGTTTTATTATAAGGTGCTGTGGAGAAGACCTTTTTGAATGATAATATCTGTATGGGGATCTGTGAGCTTCCTGTGTATGGCTGTCTAAATCTCTTGCTAAAGTTGGAAAGTTTTCAGCTATTATTTCATTAAGGACATTATCTAACCCTTTCATTTGTTCTTCACCTTGTGGAGCACTGAAAATTTGAATCTTCGGTTGCTTTATGGTGTCCCATATGTCACATAGGCTTTGTCCATTCTTTTTAAATTTTTCTCTATATTTTTGCCTGACTGGGTTATTTCAAAAGACCTGTCTTTATGTTCTGAAATGTTTTCTTCTGCTTGATTTAGCCTATTGTTGAAGCTTTCAAATTTTGTATTTCATTAATTGAATTCCTCAGTTCCAGAATTTCTGTTTGGTTATTTTTTATGATATCTATCTCTTTTGTAAATTTCTCTTTCATATCCTGAATACTGAATTGTTTTTCTGATGTCTTTGTTTTGCTTTTTGAGTTATTTTGTATCTCACTGAGCTTCTTTAGTATCATTTTGAATTTTTTATGTGGGATTTTATACTTTTTTGTTGGAATCTGTTGCTGGAGAATTATTGTGTTCCTCTGGAGGTGTCATATTTCATTGCCTTTTTATGCTTCTTCCATCCTTACATTGGTATCTGTGCATCTGGTGTAACAGTCACTCCTTAAATTTGTTTGCATTTGCCTTTTAGTTGGGAATGACTTTTTCCCGAAGGTGTATCTATAGTATTGGTTGAGCAGGGCACTTTGGCTTTGATTCTGGGTATGTGCAGTAGTATAATCTCTGTATAATTTATTTGGCTATAAACACCACCAGTAGTGTCTGATTTACTCAGTGGTTTAGAATACTGTTAGTGAAGGCTGTGGTAAAGTTTTGCTGGAGACAGGGACAGCAGTTGAGCCTGCACTTAGGCCCCAATGGTGGCAGCAGTAAGCCAAGCATGCCTATCCTTGCAGGGCAGCATATGTTGACCCTGGTGTTAATGGGTCCAGGGGGACTGATTCTTGGACCCCCACAGGTGGCCATCTCAGGTGCCAGCAGTTGCAGAAGTGGGCCAGGTGCCTGGGCAGCAGGCGTGGAATGGGCAATGGCAGTAGCAGTGGTGAGAGAATCCTCTGACTTCCAAGCAGCCTGTACTGGTGGTGCTGGTGGCTGCAATGGGCTGGGTAGGCCAGTCTCCAGGCCTTTAGGTGGCATTTAGTGGTGCATACCAGCTGTGGTATTAGCAGCAGATTTAGTGGGCCTATCCTCAAGAGCCTGGAAGGAATGCTTAGATGCCAACAATGTTTGATGGGGCGGGGGAATCCCAGGCCCCTAGATGTTGTGCTTGGGCATGGGGGTGGGTGGATCCAGGCTAAGCACACCTGTTCTCAGGCCCCCAGTGGTGTGTGTGGTAATGGGCTATGGTAGGCAGAGGCAGGGCAATCACCAGGCTCTTGGAGGAATGCTTAGGTTGGAGTGGCAACAGTTGTGCTGTGGCTCTGCTCCTGGGGAGGAGAGGGTTGCTTTCAG